>NC_000008.11:18041920-18344951 GCF_000001405.40 Homo sapiens
AACTGCCTAATCTGTTTCCAAAGTACCATTTTACATTATTCCACCTTTACACTTGGAAAATCCCAGTGCTCCACATCCCTGCCAGTGCTTTGTATTATCAGTCTTTGCAATTTTTAGACATTCTAGTACATATGTAGTGGTATCCCATTATGGTTTTGACTTGTGTTTCGCTAATAACTAATGATATTGAGCATCTTTTCATGTGCTTATTTACCAACTATATATTGTCTTTGAAGTATTCAAACATTTTGCGCATTTAAAAAAATAGGTTTTTTTTTTCTTTGTTTGTTTCTTTCTTTTTTTTATTGAGACGGAGTCTCACTCAGTCGCCCAGGCTGGAGTGCAGTGGCACAATCTGGACTCACTGCAACCTCCGCCTACAGGGTTCAAGCAATTCTCCTGCCTCAGCCTCCCGAGTAGCTGGGACTACAGGGGTGCCACTATGCTTAGCTAATTTTTTGTATCTTTCGTAGAAATGGGATTTCACCATGTTACTCAGGATGGTCTCGACCTCATGATCCACCCGCCTCGGATCCCAAAGTGCTGGGATTACAGTCGTGAGCCACCTCGCCCTGCCGGTTGTTTTCTTATTATTTGGTACCCATATATCTTTTTGGTGAAGTGTCCAAATATTTTGTCCATTTTAAAAACATGGTTGTCAGGTTTCTTATTTTTGAGTTGTGAGTTTTATATGTATTATAGATACAAGTTCTTTATCTGATAAAGTGTTTTGCAGACATTTTCTCTCTGAGGCTTGTTTTTTCATTTTCTTTTTGGTGCCTGTTGAAGAGCTTAAGCTCTTGATTTTGATGAAGTCCAACGTATTAATTTTTTCCTCTTAAGCATCATGCTTTTAGCATTATATCTAAGAAAATTTTCCTTAACCCAGGGTCACAAAGATGTTCCCATGTTCTTCTAGAGGCTTTATAGTTCACTGATCAATTAAAAAAAGTTTTTAATTTTTGTAGCAGGGTCTTGCTGTGTCCCCCAGGCTGGAGTGCAGTGGCACGATCATGGCTCACTGAAGTCTCAACCCCTGTATTAGTCCATTTTTACACTGCTGATAAAGACATACCCAAGACTGGGAAGAAAAAGAGGTTTAATTGGACTTACAGTTCCACATGGCCCGGGAGGCCTCAGAATCATGGCAGAAGGCAAAAGGCACTTCTTACGTAGTGGCATCAAGAGAAAATGTGGAAGATGCAAAAGCGGAAACCCCTGATAAAATCATCAGATCTCATGAGACTTATTCAGTACCACGAGAACAGTATGGGGGAAACCACCCCCATGATTGCAATTATGTCCTACTGGATCCCTCCCACAACATGTGGGAATTATGAGAGTACAATTCAAGATGAGATTTGGGTAGGGACACAGAGCAAAACCGTATCAACCTCCCTGGACTCAAGTGATCCTCCCACCTCAGCTTCCCAAGTAGTTGGGACCATAAGCATGCACCACCATGCCTGGCTAATTTTTTGTAGAGACAGGGTCTTGCCATGTTGCCCAGGCAGGTCTTGAACTCCTGGGCTCAAGCAAGCTGCCTGCCTTGGCTTCCCAAAGTGCTGGGATTACAAGTGTGGGCCACAGTGCCCAGCCTGATCAATTATGAATTAGTTTTTGTATATGTGTGAGGTTTTCATTAATGTTCATGTATTTGCATTTGAACATCCAGTTGCCCCAGCATCACAGTTGAAAATGCTTATCCTTTCTCTACTGAATTCCATTTGCACCTTTGTTGAAAATCAATTGACTGTATTATGTGTGCAGATCTAATTTTGGACTCTTTTCAATTCTGCTGATATATTTGTCTGTCTTTATACCATTAGCACACTGTTTTCCTCACTATAACTTTATTATAATAAATCAGGTAGTATAAGTCCTCCAACTTTTCAACTTCCAAGATTTCTTCAACTATTCTAGGTCCTTTGCATTTCTATATGAACCTGAGAATCAACAATTTCTACTAGAAAATCTGCTGGAATTTTGTTTGGGATTGGTTTGAATCTATAGGTCAATTTGAGAATTTTCATCTTAACAACATCAAGTCTTCCATGAACATGATAGCTCTAAGTTTTGTCTAATTCCTCTCAGCTATGTTTTACAGTATTCAGTGTGTAGGATTTACTGATAATTTGCAGATTTATCCTATACAGATTGCTACTGCTGCCATAAAAAATCACCACAGGCTTAGTGGTTTAAAACAACAAATGTATTATCTTACAGTTCTCTATAGATTAGAATTACAGCATAGATCACATGGGCTGACATCAAGGTGTCAGCAGGTCTGCCTTCCTTTCTAGGGCCCCAAGGAGACAACCCATTTCCTTGCACATTCCAGCTTCTGGAGGCCACACACATTCCTGGGATCACGGCTTCCTTTTTCCATCTTCAAAGTCAGCAGAATTGCATCTCACTGCAACCCTTCTTCAGTAGTCACACCTCTGACAGAGCAGAAAAAAATTATCTGCTATCCATGTGATTAGATTAGGTCCACTTGGATAAATCTCCTTCACTGCAGGTCCTTAATCACATCTGCAAAGTTCCATTTGCCACGTAGGGTAACATATGCTCAAGTTCTGGGGATTAGGACATGGGCGTATTTGGGGGTCATTATTCTGCCTCTTGCAAACTCACAGAGTTTCCTGCATCACTGATGGTATTGTTTTGAAATTCAATTTCTGGTTATTCATTGCTAGAAGATAGAAATATAATTGATTTTATACAGAGATCTTGCATCGTGCAACCTTGTTAAACTCACTTATTGATTCTAGTAATTTTTAAAATTTTTTGTAGATTCCAAAGGTTTCCTACATAGACAATCATGTCATCTTCAAAAAAAAAAAAAACAATTTTACATCTTCCTTTTCAATCTGGATGCCTTTTACTTCTTTATCTTGCCTGGTTGCACTGGCTGAAACAACCAGTACAATGTTGATAGAAGTAGTAAGAGTGGGCAACAATCCCTTGTTCTCAATCTTAGGAGAAATGTATTTTACCATTAAGTATGATATTAGCTGTATGGCTTTCATATTTGCCCCTTATCAGGTTTGAGTATTTTCCATATCTACCATGTTTCTATAACTTAATCTTTCCTCTACCTTCTTGAGCACTGGAGTACAATTAGAGTAACTGTTATAACATCTTTGTCTGCTAATTCTATCATCTGTGTTATTTCTGGCTGATTTTCATTAATTCATTTTTTCCCTCATTAGGAACCATCTTTGTCTGCTGCTTTGTATGCCTGGCAACTTTTCATTGGATGTCAGATATTGTATATTTTACATTATTGGGTGTGGATATTTTTGTATTCCTATAGCTATTCTCCACACTCAGCCCTTGCCCTGTAATCTTTAGCTGCCTCTGCTACTTACACCCAGCTCTATCACACTTCAGAGATACCCCAGGCTCTACCGTTGCTCCCTCTTTCTGCTCCATGGCATGCAAACTCTCCATGGCATGGCAGTAGGCTGGGGCAAGCAGGGCTCTCCTTGTTTCCCACCTTTCAGATATCTCATATCCAATGTCTTAAAAATCTTCATTTCATATATTTTGTCTGTTTTTTCTGTGGTATCAGGTAGAAGGTGAATCTGACTCCTGTTATTTCATCCTGCCTAGAAGCATACGTTGTAATGACATTTTCCTGCCTATATATTTTGTTGAATGAATAAATGGGAGTTGCAGAGTTCGTTTCTTTACTGAGTTGCAGGTGGTTAGAAAGGATAGGAAGAAGGGTGCTGGCCCATTTGTACTTATAAGATTGCAATCATGTTAAAAGCAGTCCCCTGGATACGTGGTTAGGATGGCATTCAAAGACCACTACATGGAGAACTGTTCGCAGAACCTCATCTTGCCCTTATGAATAAGACCACTGGGTCGCTTCAGCCTGGTTCTGTCTCTAACCAGTAACGTTGAGGACAGAGTAGCATCTTTTTTCTCTTCCTCTGCTACAATGAGTTGTTGTCCCCAGAGGCTTCTGGAATTCAGTGACTCAGCAACCAAGAGGGTAGTGTGAATGTTAAGTAAATTTATTTTTCCAACATGATTTGATTTACAAAATGGCAATTATAGATCCCTGGACCCATCTGTTGACCTCTCTAACCTTGCGTTGCTGCAAGCACTTGACAACTTGTAGTTCTCCAAACTGGTCATACTGTTTCATGCTTCCATGCTTCATATACACTCTTTTTCTCTGTCAGTGAAACCACTTATTTCCTTCTTTATCCATGGAACTCCTGCTCATTCTTCAAGGCCTTGTTCTTCTCCAGCCCTCCCTTTTGGGCTGCAGTTTCTCATTTCTGTGTTTACCCTGTGCCAACTCCCATCATGGCCAATCCCACTGAGTGATTTACTCTCCTAACTACCATCTTGGGCTGTATGATCCTTCAGGGAAGGGGCTGTTTCTTAGCCAGCCCAGTACAGTGCCTGCCGTGGTTTTCACTCAGTGGTGAGCTGGTTGAATTCTACATGAAGTATGTGGGTTACAGGCTATTGATTTGATCTTGGTCAAAAATAGTGGCTTGGAACACAGGGCAACTGCTAAGAGTCTTTTGTATTTAACATGGGAGTCACAATCACATTCTTTTTTGCTACCCTTTCAGATCAGATTTCCCAGGTTAGAGGGTTCTCTGTTCTGATGTGCCTTCTCCTTTCACTTGCCCTGACACAGGCACCTGTGCATCAGTAGTCACAATGGACCCTTTGTCAGATTAGGGTTGGAGCCCTGTCGGCCCCATCTCCCCAGGAATGTCTTTTGCAGGGTGCCCTAGGAATCTGTGAAAATGAACGCGGTGATGGGAATAGAGTAATCCTCTCACTCTTCCAAGTGTGTTCACTGATGTCATAGATTCATTAGCTATGGTAATTACTGTTTCTGAGTGTCTGGGGAAAAACGCATTCTCCCCACTGCTGGGAGTGTGCAGTGATTCAGACATTTTGGAAAGCACTTCAGTAGTATCTTACAAAATAAATGTGCACCTACCACATCTATTCTTTATTGTGTATCTGTTATCTATTATATAAACTGTTAGATATGTAAACATATGATGTTCACTGCAGCATTACTTATAACTACAAAGCTCTGAAAACAAACTAAATGTCCATCGATATACTTTGGAATCCTTCAAAGCACTTAAAAAAGATGAGAAAAATTATAAACAGTCACATGCAAAGAGCTCCATACTGTTGAATGAAAAACAAAAGCTACGTGTAGTGGCACATGCCTGTAATCCCAACACTTTGGGAAGCTGAGGTGGGAGGATCACTTGACCCTAGGAGTTCGAGACCCGCCTGGGCAAAATGATGAGACCTTGTCTCTACAAAAAAATAAAAAGAAGCAGCGCATGGTGGTGCATTCCTGTAGCCCCAGCAACTCAGAAGGCTGAGGTGAGAGGACTGCTTGCCCCCAGGATGTTGAGGCTGCAGTGAGCCATGATTGTGCCACTGCATTCCAGCCTGGGTGACAGAGTGAGACCCTTTCTCAAAACAAACAGCCCGGGTGCAGTGGCTTACGCCTGTAATCTTAGCGCTTTGGGAGGCTGAGGTGGATGGATCACCTGAGGTCAGGAATTCAAGACCAGGCTGGCCAACATGGTGAAACCCCATCTCTACTAAAAATACAAAAATTAGTTGGGCGTGGCGGCAGGTGCCTGTAATCTCAGTTACTTGGGAGGCTGAGGCAAGAGAATCGCTTGAACTGGGGAGGCGGAGGTTGCAATGAGCCCAGATCGTGCCACTGCACTCCAGCCTAGGTGACAGAGTGAGACTCCAGCGTAGGTGACAAAGTGAGACTCCATCTCAAACACAAACAAACATGAACGCAGAGCCAAACAGAGAATATGGGTAAGAGGTTACCTCTGGGGAGGGGAGTGGAATTTCGAAGAGTGAAGTAAAGGGGAGACTTCTGTTTGTTAAATGTTTTATCAAAAAAGATAAATATATTATTTGCATATTTTAAAGAAAATTTTAAGATAACCTAGCTCAGTGGTTTTTAAATGATTGTACCTGATGAGACAGATAAAGTGTCAGGTAGCTCAGAGATAAGATGAGCTGATAAAAACAGATCTAATGGAAGCTTAAGGTGCTATCTCTGCAAACAAGTCTAAGTGAAATCCTTTATTTTGCCGTACATGGTTCACATAACTTTACTAGTCAAAATTTAAAATTACTATTAAATAAAGTTTGTAGCAATATCTAAAGCAAAGCATGAAAAGATAAGAAAATATTTCTTCTAAATAAATTTGTCATAGGCACATAGACCAAAGGAATAGAATAGAGAACCCAGAAATAAACTCAAATACTTACAGCCAACTGATCTTCAACAAAGCAAACAAAAACACAGTGGGGAAAGGACACCCTTTTCAACAAATGGTGCTGGGATAATTGGCTAGCCACATGTATGAGAATGAAACTGGATCCTCATCTCTCACCTGATAGAAAAATCAACTCAAGTTGGATTAACGACTTAAACCTAAAACCTGAAACTATAAAAATTCTAGAAGACAACATTGGAAAAACCCTTCTCGACACTGGCTTAGGCCAGGATTTCATGATCAAAAACCCAAAAACAATTGCAATAAAAACAAAGATAAATAGCTGGGACCTAATTAAACTAAAGAGCTTTTGCACAGCAAAAGGAACAGTCAGCAGAGTAAACAGACAACACACAGAGTGGGAGAAAATCTTCACAATCTATACATCTGACAGTGGACTAATATCCAGAATCTCCAACCAACCCAAACAAATCAGTAAGAAAAGAACAATCCTGTCAAAAAGTGGGCTAAGGACATGAATAGACAATTCTCAAAAGAAGATATACACACGGCCAACAAACATATGAAAAAATACTCAACATCACTAAAGATTAGGGAAATGCAAATCAAAACCACAATGCGATACCACCTTACTCCTGCAAGAATGGTCATAATCAAAGAATCAAAAATGGTAGATGTTGGCATGGATGCAGTGAGCAGAAAACACTTCTACACTACTGGTGGGAATGTAAACTAGTACAGCCACTATGGAAAACAGTGTGGAGATTCCTTAAAGAGCTAAAAGTAGAACCACCATTTGATCCAGCAATCCCACTACTGGGTATCTACTCAGAGGAAAAGAAGTCATATTCGAAATAGATACTTGCACACACGTTTATAGCAGCACATTTCACAATCGCAAAATCGTGGAACCAACCCACATGCCCATCAATCAACAATTGGATAAAGAAACTGTGGTATGTGTGTGTGTGTGTGTGTGTGTGTGTATATATATATATACACACACACACACACACACACACACATATGATGGAATACTACTCAGCCATAAAAATGAATGAGTTAACAGCATTTGCAGTGACCTGGATGAGATTGGAGACTATTATTCTAAGTGAAGTAACTCAGGAATGGAAAACCAAACATCATATGTTCTCGCTGATATGTGATAGCTAAGCTATGAGGATGCAAAGGCATAAGAATGATACAATGGACTTTGGGGACTTGGGGGGAAGAGTGGGAGGGGGGCGAGGGATAAGAGACAACAAATACAGTGCAGTATATACTGCTCGGGTGATGGGTGCACCAATATCTCTCAATTCACCACTAAAAACTTATGTAACCAAATACCACCTGTACCGCAATAATTTATGGAAAAACAAAATTAAAATTAAAAAAACCTTACACTTGTATTATCACTATTTTGGCACATCTACAGATATTTTAAAATTTTAAAGTATTTTATACAGAATGATACACCAAATAACAATTGCTTTGGTCATGATTCTAATAATCCACTTTAATTTTTTTATTAGCTTGTGTATATTTTATTTTTTTGAGACACAGTCTCGCTCTGTTGCCCAGGCTGGAGTGCAGTGGCACAATCTTGGCTCACTGCAACCTCTGCCACCTGGGTTCAAGCGATTCTCTTGCCTCAGCCTCCCCAGTAGCTGGGATTACAGGTGCCCGCCACCACGCCAAGCTAATATTTGTATTTTAGTAGACATGGGGTTTCTCCGCGTTGCCCAGGCTGGTCTCGAACTCCTGAGCTCAGGCGATCCACCTGCCTCGGCCTGCCAAAGTTAGGATTACAGGCGTGAGCCACCATGCTTGGCCGCTCTTGTATATTTTTAATGCTAGATTTGTCACTGTTCTTACGTAGCTAAGTTGAAAAAAGAAATGCAAGTTAACTAAGCACCTGTACTCAGCCCTTGAAATCTTGGATCCAGAAGAACAGTCTATCAATTATATGATTAAAAAAAATAAGAACTATAATAACTTTTCCTAAACAACCACTTAAGATTTTTAAAAATCCATCATATTAGCTTTTAGCATATTGAGAACTTAAGGAGATGATAGGGAAATATTTTTAATATTATTAGATTATTTTGGCTATAGCAGATTTTCCACATGGAGAATGATTTTAAAAATATTAATTTTTATCTGGTCTATAAGACAGTAGTATTATTCAATACATATTAATATGATCGCTATAGATTTCTATATTCTTTTGGTTAAAAAACCCAGTCAAACAACAAAGGGCTGTCAACTTTTCACAGTCCCTTGTCTTTGACAGCCCTAAAAATTTTGCAGATATCAAAGATCTTTCATAGTGCCTTACTTCCTTCACATTTTAAATATAGGAAAACTGAGTGCCAGAGACAACACCAGAACAAGTCTCAAGTTCATCTTCCCCTATATACACCATTGCTCATTGGCAATGAATGTAATAACTTAAAAACTACTGCATATGTGTCTTTGACAGAGACATATACACACACACACATGAATATGTGTGTGTGTATATGTGTGTGTGTGTATATGTCTATATATTATGAAGTCAGTACCCTTGAAAGCAAACAAGTGAAAACTTTACACATTGTTCCCACCCAGCAACTGTAACAATCAGAAACAAAAATGTAATGAAACTCAACTACTGAAACTTGATTTTCTATAGTAAGACAGTAAACTTAATTCTTTAATAACAGAGCCAATCACTGGGTGTTTGCTTTACCAAGGAATACTTTTTCTCAGTAACTAAGATGAAAAGTCTTACTTATTCCATTTGGTAATATGTATGGTCCATTGTACCGAGCAGGTGAAAAGCAAGAACTGGTGTATGCATCAAGTAATTTCCCCTTGGTTATGGCTCCTTGGCATAAGGCGATTTCACTCACCCACACACAGCCTTGGACATGCATAGCCTTGCAGTTGACTTCTTAGAACTGCTACTTCTTATAATATTTTGAAATAATGCTATCAACCCTGCCTCATTATTTCATATCCACAACATGGGAAGAGCAGAATTTGTGTAGGCCACTAGACTATCATAGAGCATAATGTAAATGTCTTTTTTTTTCTTTTTAATTGAGACAGAATCTTGCTCTGTCACCCAGGCTTGAGTGCAGTGGCGCGATCACAGCTCACCGCAGCCTCCATCTCCCAGGCTCAAGTGCTCCTCCCGCCTCAGCCTCCTGAGTAGCTGGGACACAGGTGCATGCTGCAAAGCCTAGCTAGTTATTTTTTGATTTTTAGTATACATCAAGTCTCACTATGTTGCCCAGGCTGGTCTCAAACTTCTGGCCTCACGTGATGCTCCTGCCTTGGCCTCCCAAAGAGCTGGGATTACAGGTGTGAGCCACCATGCACAGCCTTACTATGTTTTTCTGACATTCAGTGAGGGTTGGCATTGAACTCAGGTACTATGGTTTCAAATTTAAACATATTTACTGTAAATCTGTGTGTGTGTGTACAAATTATATATATATGTGTATATATAAATTGTATATATGTATGAAACTCCATCTCTACTAAAATATACATCATATTTTGTATATGTTATACATGTAGAAACTGTCATTTGCAGCTCACAGGCCACTTTGGAGGCATCTTGGCTACCTGCCCGTGACTGCCCAAACTGCATGTGCTTTCTGCCAAGTAGAGCATCATTTTGAAATACTTGATATGAAAGTTTTGACTAGATTTCACCCATGCATGTGTATGACTAACAAAGACTACAATGGTTCTGACGAGTCCAACCACACCTGGGTGTCGGCTGCTACTGGATTCCCTGCGCAACTGAGACACAATTTAAATCTAGATTTATCAAGCTAGAGGAATCCTTAGAGAAAATTGGATCTAAACCCTCATTTTACAAAGGCAGATATGGGGATGCAAGGAGTTAAGTCATGTGTCGCTGGTCACCCAGGCTGGTGATGAAGCAATGGAAACAATGTGAGATTTGTTACCTTTTGGCCTGTTTGTATGTCCCAGTACATACTGAAAAGGATAGTGTTTGTAAACGAGAGGGGATATATGGACTTGGTGAAAAATTCATTACATTTTCTTTATATTAATTATGAAATGTCTAAGTAATGAACAGAAGATAAAGCATCAGGGGAGATATTACACATAAAAATGCAAAACTATAGACTTTTTTTTTTTTTTTTTTGGACAGAGTTTCACTTTCTTGCCCAGGCTGGAGTGGAGTGGCATGATCTTGGCTCACTGCAACTTCCGCCTCCTGGGTTCAAGCAATTCTCGTGCCTCAGCCTCCTGAGTAGCTGGGATTACGGACGCCCGGCACCTTGCCAAGCTGATTTTTTGTATTTTAGTAGAGACAGGGTTTCACCATGTTACCCAAGCTTGTCTTGAACTCCCGAGTTCAGGCAATCCACCCGTCTCTGCCTCCCAAAGTGCTAGGATTATAGGCGTGAGTCACAGAGCCCGGCCATTTTCTTAACGTGTTTTTATAACCTATTTTCTATTTGAAATTGTTATACACAATTCTTGGCCGAGACTTTATGATCTCCTCAAATTTTTGAAAAATCATTAAGGATCAATTTGTATGCCTAATTGAGTGATAAATTTAAAGCAGTGTTGTACAAGCATTCAAGAATTTACAGAAATTGGAATTATATTTGAAAACTAATTTTTATTTAACTTTCATTGATACATGTACTACTAAATTATCTTGGGAAGAGTTTTGAATTCAATCAAAATTGCCATATCGGCCAAGCATGGTGGCTCACGCCTGTAACCCCAGCACTTTGGGAGGCTAAGGCGGGCGGCTCACTTGAAGTCAGGAGTTCGAGATCAGCCTGGCCAACACGGTGAAACTCCGTCTCTACTAAAAATACAAAATTTAGCTGGGCGTGGTGGTGGGTACCTGTAATCCCAGCTACTCTGGAGGATGAAGCAGGAGAATTGCTTGCACCTGGGAGGTGGAGGCTGCCGTGAGGCGAGATGGCGCCACTGGACCACTCCAGCCTGGGCAACAGAGCATGACTCTGTCTCAAAAAAACAAAACAAAACAAAACAAAACAAAAAATTCCAATGAAGTATTTTAAAATAACAATGCCCTATTTTGCAGAAAGCACTTGAATTGTTAACAACAGTCATAGGCAGCCAGCTGAGATGCCTCCAAATTGGCCTGTCAGCTACAAATGGACACAGTAATCAGATACATGTGAAGTGAATGTTTGGGATGCTGCCTGGAGCTGAATCCACCAGGAGACCGCAGTGCCTATGCGCCTCCCTCCCACCTCTGCAGCAGGGCTGTGTGCGGCATTCTGCGCACCTGGAACATAAACTCCAGTTGTGCCACAGGCCGCTTGTCTGTGAGATCTGCAGGCCAGCTGCTATTGCTCAACCTTGCAATGGGAGCAACAAGTTCCAGGTGTTATTGCTGCCACTGACGACCGGGACGACCAAGCCAAGTTTGGGTCTTGGTGAAAAACAATTGGGGGGGCCCCCAGTGAGGGCTGAATGGTTAAGTTTCCTTATGAGGATTTTGTATTTGACAGAGGCAAAACCTAGTTGGCCCAGGTCTCTTCTGGTCCACAGGGCCAGTGATTTTTACTAACTTTCTCCATACCTTGCATGCCCCACACCTCCCTTCCCAGCCTGTGAGAACACAGAGGGATGCAGTCTATCCCACTCTGTCTGTATTAGTCCGTTTTCGCACTGCTAAGTTATAAAGTAAAGAGGTTTAATCGACTCACAGTTCCGCATGGCTGGGGAGGCCTCAGGAAACTGACAATCGTGGCAGAAGGCAAGAGGGCGGGAGACGACGCCTTCACAAGGCAGGAGAGAAGCAAGTCGGAGAACCAGGAAGCACCACACTTTAAAACCATCAGCTCTCGTGAGAGCTCACTAGCTATCACGAGAACAGCATGGGGGAAACCACCCCCATGCTCCAATCAACTCCACCTGGTCCCTCCCTTGACAAATCGAGATGAGATTTGGGTGAGGACACAGGCCCAAACCGTATCACTGTCCCAGTCTGCCCTTCAAGGAGCCCCAGAGGAAGCCCGGGCTGTGGGAGGCAGCCTGGAGGCTGGTATGCCTAGACCCTGCCCAGCTGCCCCAAAGCTGCGGCCCTGTGAAGGGCCTGAGATTTTACCCTGCTTGCAAGCTAATGACCTAGCCTGCCACAGCTTCCTGGATGCTGGCAGACTCCTGGGCCAAAGGCAAAGGACTGTATTGCTCTGGGAATGCCATTTGCCCCCCACCCCAAGTCCCCCAAGGAGGTGATGTGTGACAACCCAATTTATGATGTATCATCTGTATCACAGCTGAGGAACCCCAAGCTCAGGAAACCCCTCGAGTTATAAGATGGGCTGCTTCTCCAATCAACTCATCCAACCTTTGCCCTACAGGTAGATGATGATCTTTATTACCGTAGTCAGGAAACAAATCTGTCCTCTGCCTAGACAAGCATCCTTGAAGATGTCCAGAACTGCCACAGAGAATTGCCCAACGCACACCAGTCTAGCATCCCCTGTGCCACCTGGCTGGGAAACCCACTTTATCAACATAAGAGGGACAGAGTGCCCTAGGGAAAAAGAGAGGACTGATTTTCATGTGAGCTGAGCAACCTCCCCAAGTTGTGAAGGTTGAGGAGCCCAGCCACACTTCCCCAGGCTTGTAGACGGGGCCAGCATGCAGCTCGGTGTGGTCTGGAGCCTGCTGGTCACATCTGTCATATGTGAGGCTAAGCTGGCAAGTATTTTGTAAATTGTCACCAATAAACAAAAACTATGCTTCACTTTGTGAGACTAACTTCAATAATGACTGTGTGAGGTTTTATAGTGACTTTTTATAAATTTCTGAACTATTCATATTTTTCACGTACTCCTGGGTCACAGCCACAGAAAGACTGAGGAGCTCTTAACGCATTCCCCACAAGCTGAGCACGATTCAGACTCAGGGTAGTCAAAAACAGGTGACCTGTCAGCTCCTAACACCAAAGGGTTTCTGATCCCTATGGGAACATTAATAATTGACACAGAACAAGTAGAAGGCAGTGACACAGTGGTGTCCAGGCTCAGCAGGGTGGCCTGGTCCATGGCAGCAGAAGTGTGGGTCTCATAGGACAGAGCTGTTTCTCAATCCTACTTGTAAAGTCAAGAATTCGGGTGTCATAAGAGCGCAGGAGTTGGACAGACCTGGCTAAAACCCTGGCTCTAAGCCCTTCTGTTAATGCAACTTTCAGCAAGTTACTTCCATGGCTGGCAAGTGTGATTACAAGTGATACCGGGGTTTGCTGAGGAGGTAATCTAGGTCAAGCACCTTATCAATCACAAGGCCTGGTACATAAATGGATAAGCAAGAGCTCTAATTAAGATGAGTGACTGAGGAGCTCGATGTGTGAAGGAATACAGGTAGGATTCAGCCTTCCATTCACAATCAAACTCCCGAAAACTTGGCAGGGAAATTAGATGGAGCCCATGGTTTGGATCCAACCTGGACCTTATTTTTTTATAGTATTTCTAAAAATAGAGTCTCATTAATGTCCAATGGCTACTAAGTTTTGTCCTCTCAAAATTAAAATAGCACTTGCCATTATCCAGTAGGAACTACAGTCAGCATTTTGGTTAATATCCTCCCAGTCATCTTTTGATATTCTAGATGTGTATCTAGTTATGCATAAGTACATATATAAAGTGTTATATAAACAGGCTCATCCTGTATATCCTATTTTAAAACTGCTTTACCACTAAACAATTACTTCCTAAAATCTTAATACCTGTTATTTCTTGTAAACTTTGATTTACTCCGGAGAAATCGGTCTGAAACAATTAGCATCTCACCTCTTTACTATCAGGCATATCAAAGGTTATTACATTAACAAAAAAATACATCAAGTTGACCTGACTTCATTTATGTAAGAGGTAGAAAATCTGAGTAAAGTTTTTTTTTCATTAATTAAATCCTATTTTAATGTAAATCCTCTTATAATTCCTCGTTTCACTAAAGTAATCTTGGAATCACTAAAGTTTTGTGGAAGCACCACCTATCTGGGGGAAAAACTGCCTTTAAACACCTGCAAATTGGGTTGATAGTATCTGGTTAAGAGGTGGTATCAGTCATGTAAGAGTAAGATTGTGACCGTTTAGTCATATTTAATAACCCACTTACATAACCCTTGTTATTTAATTCAGATACGATGTTCAGCTTGTATTTCTTGATAATAACCCCCCTCCTCCAAACCAACACAGATGTACACACCCAATCAGCGTGCATGACTGCTGACTGGCACTCTTTCCAGTGACTGTTTATTGAGTGTCAGGAACACAACTGTGATTATACAAAATGAAGTGGACAAACGGTCTTGCACAAATGACGTACATTTCACAGTTAATCGTGAAGGTTAGAAAGGTTAACAAGTTCTATTAGTACTTTTCATAAGCAGTTTGATTTCTGAAAAATACAGTAACATAATTTTAGTAACTACTAAAATTTCTTTAAAACTCCCTATCAATCTGAAGAACAAACTAAAAACCTGTTTATTACATGAATGCTACTTATGAGAATTTAAAATATGGGTTCACTTCCTATTTTCCACAAGTCTTTGACTTGTTTATTTACTAAATTAACAGAACGTGGGATGCAGTTTTTTAAGTTAGCAACTTCCTTAGGGTTACTGGGAAGTAGAGTAATTATGAAAAAGGGAACACTTCAATTATTGTATAAAAGATTGCTTTGCATACTGATTACTTCTTGAACCCCAAAAAGTGCTATTTAGAGGCAAGGGCCCATTTTGTGCCCATTAAAAGAAATATACAGGTGAATGTCTGTCTCATCCCTCTAATCATATGTAATAAAATTATATCGCTGTCAATAACAGCAAAGATAATGATATATTAATTTTAACAGCAGTTAGAACCAGAAGGAAAAGGCTGTTATACAGAAAAACATACAAATATGTAGGTAGAAGTGAAAAACTGAAGAATGTGGAGTGTTTACTGTCCCGTTACTCACACAGACGTGCTGGATTCAACACCCACGCTGAATCTCCATTTATTCCACGGAGGTGGAGTTCACCATGGTTCGACTGCCCACCAGATCCCCAAATGTCAAAGTGAAACAAAACTCAGTGAATTCTAGATGACTGTTTTACTTCCCCTAAAGAAGTTATCTGTAAATAAGAAAAATCAACTGATAGGGGGAAAAAAAAAAGATCTGTCATTTGTCAACAGATGGACGAAGACAAGCTATTGACTCAAAGAGAACCTGCCGCGAGTCTTAGTCTTTGGAAGGTCAGACAGCTGCAGTGTTCGGTCACATGGAGATGGTGTCTTCATGTCTCAGAGGCCGCATTCTGTAGGCCAGACGTGTGCTCACCAACCTATACAAGGGTCAGGGCAGTCCCGCAGGTAAGTTTCGAATTGACCTTTGGTAACATCTATCAAGGTTGTGTATACGGTCAGCTGAAAGAAAAGTTATTTTTACTTTAAGGACGTTTTCAATTCAGAGATGTTCTGATATATATTAGCATTTCTATACTTGTAGAATTTGCTTTAGAAGTTATTTAATATTAAATAATATAACTTAATATATGCAAAGCATGTTATATAATGTATATATTTATATTAATATAGTATAATCATATAAAATTAGCTAAAGTCTCACCAAATAACTAAAGCAAACAACTTCAACAGGATCACTGTTTCAGGTAATGAATATAAACAGGCTCAGGAAAGAATCTCCAGCTCCTTATAGGAGCTTATTCCTGACAGCACATTGCTCCACCCCCAATGCTTTAAGACTGCCTTAACCCTCCTTGACGCACAGCTGGCAGTCCTGGGAGACCTGCCGGTGTCCTATGGAGTAAAAACCGTGGAGCTTTGGCTATCCCTATCCTTAAAGCATTTCCAATACAGTGGGGGAAACTGCAGGCACCCAGATCACAAGGCACACACCCAAACACAAGTCACGAGATTGTGACTTGCTCAAAGATGGTATAGGCAAAACGCAAGTATGGCAGGGCCCGTGAACTGAAGGCAGGCTTCCTGTGAGAGCCAGGGTGACCTGGATGCTAAAGGCCGGAGGGATTTGTCCTGGCAGGGTAAAGGCGGCATGTTTACTTTAGGGAGAGCTGTGGAGAAGGACCAAGAAAAGAAGGAACAAATGGGAAAATTAGGGGGGCATATTCAGAACGTTCAGGGAATGATTGTTAGCGAGTGGTGGGATGATAGGAAACTTTTTGCATTTTTTTAAAACTACAGTGTAGGGAAAAGATAAACAGATGTAGTAAAGTTTAAGGGAAACCCGAACCCACCAAGACACAGAGCTCTGTCTGAAAATGGACTGCAGACTTTGTTTTGTTGACATTTAGGTGTTAGTTATATAGTGTGAGATTTTTAATAGATACCAATAAGAGTAAAATGCTAGCCTTAATTCAAATGCTATGTAAATAAAGCTATAAACAATATTCTGACCTATCAAGCCTCAGTGATCAATTTCTTTCTTGTATTCCAAAATACAGTTTTAGCCACACAAAAACATTTTTTAATAAAAAATCAGTCCTAAGCTGAACACACCTTTTGTGCTCAAACTGATCAAAGATAACAGAGAAAGATAAAACATAGGGCCAAATTCTTTCCCTAAAAGGCAAATATACATATAACATTTAAAATACCTTGTTGAGGACAGGTTTTGTTGACAGGACATCATACATGGTTTCAAATGAGATATTCTAAAACACAAGAAAATAGTTTTGTTCAGTAAGTTAAATACAGAAGCCAACAGCCTTATCTACACACATGGGCCACCAGAAACCAAGACATTCTTTAATCAACCTCCCCTCCATCCCCGCAGTGGAGTTTCTGTGGGAGTCACTGTTAGAAACACAGGTAACAGTTTTAATGGATTACTTTCCTCTCTCTCCTTCCCCTTTTTTAAATTCTTGCCTGTTTGTTATTCAACTTCAGAGTGGTATCCAGCATTAGAACCAGAAAAGGAAAGTACAGCACAATTTTGCTCTTTAAGTTAAGAAAACGAAACAAAAAAATCAGTGGAGAGTGGCTAGAGATACTATGAAAAATAGGACGTTTATAAATTACTTGAAGGCCAAAGAAAAATGCCAGAACCAAGGGAATCTTTAATGGCAACAGTTTCTTTCTATAGATGACCCTGCAAAGGTACCTCTTGGCTGGTGCGGTTCAGACACATCTTTGCAGGCGTTCTGCGATCATCAAGGAAGAAGGGATGTTTCCAACGGTCATAATTTGTTTGTACCACATACCATCTACCCTGCTTAGCATCGAGTCTAGATACAAAAGGAGAGATTCCCTCTTAGGCTACATGCCTTAAAACTCAAAGTATATCAGTGTATGCTTTTGTTTCTACTTCTTTTGCTTTAACAAACCTACTTACTCATATACATCCAATGATTCCTTTCTGTCTCGTGTAATCACACAACCTTCCCCAGACTGGTTGCCTCCCAGGATAAAGTAGGCTGGGGCCAATATCTTGGTCTTGGTCAATAAATTCTTGGCTTCTTCATAACTATATAGAAACATTTAAAAAGAAAAATGAAACTTTTTTTTAATTTTAGTAAATAACTTCATTTATTTTTAAATTTTACTTTAAGTTCTGGGACACATGTGCTGAACGTGCAGGTTTGTTACATAGGTACACACGTGCCATGGTGGTTTGCTGCACCCATCAACCCATCATCTAAGTTTCAAGCCCTACATGCATTAGGTATTTGTCCTAATGCTCTCCCTCCCCTTTCACCCCACCCCCTGACAGGCCCTGGTGCGTGATGTTCCCCTCCCTGTGTTCACGTGTTCTCTTTGTTCAGCTCTCACTTATGAGTGAGAACATGCAGTGTTCGGTTTTCTGTTCCTGTGTTAGTTTGCTGAGGATGATGGTGGGAAACATTTTTAGATGACTTAGAACGGAAATGTTTAGCTCTGTAGAAACTAAAGAAAAACAAGTATCTAAGGAATGTGTTATTTATTTATTTCTATTTTTAGAGATGGGCTCTCACTCTGTTGCCCAGGCTGGTCTCGAACTCCTTGGCACAAGCGATACTCTTGCCTTCGCCTCCCAAAGTACTGGGATTACAGGCATGAGCCACCATGGCCAGCCACAATGTGTTTTCTAAAAAAGGATGGTGAGCAATGCCTCTGGGAAAAGCAATCCCTGACCCTGTATGGTGAACACTGAGATGGGAAGCGGGAATCTTAGGAAGCCCCTCTAATCTGAAGGAGAAACAAAGTGGCCTCAAGAGATCATCTTCCACCCTTACTGTCCATGCCTTTCACTCAACAACAGAACAAAGGGAAATAATATTACAGTATGTAGGACTTAGAGAACAGAAAGTAAACCTTCTTGAAAATTAGGACTATTAAAAATTGAAGTGGGTTATCAAAGAACACTACTAACATTAAATCTTATTCCCTGGGAAGTATTAAAAATAGGATTGATGCCCATTTATTTGGACGCAGTGCTGGCTGAATGAAGGAAAGGCAGTTTTGCTATTGTAAGATTTCTATACCAAGGCAAGATATAACTTACAGGTTAATATGTAGTACATTTTGTATTTATTTATTTTGTTTTTTTAAGACAGAGTCTCACTCTATCACTCAGGGTGAAGTGCAGTGGACTGATCCCAGCTCACTGCAGTCTCGACCTCCTTGGGCTCAGGTGATCCTCCCACCTCAGCCTCCTGAGTAGCTGGGACTACAGGCAGGCACGTGTCACCATGCCTGGCTAATTTTTGTATTTTTTATAGAGACGGGGTTTCGCCATGTTGCTCAGACTGGTCTCAAACCCCTGGGTGCAAGTCATCTGTCTATCTCAGCCACCCAAAGCGTGAGGATTACAGGCATAAGCCACTGTGCCTGGTCTGTACTACCATTTAAATGAAGATTTTACTGTATGACTGTTCTTTTGTGTGTGGGTCATTTTTTTTCTGTACACCAAAAATATTCATAGGTGCCTTTCATAATGTCAGTATCCCTAGTGCTTTTTAAGTAATTCATTTATTTGCTATAAAACACACAGTCTGCACGAAGAAAACATGAGTAATTCCACATGAGTGTCAGAGGTTCACCTAAGAAATTCTGCAATAGTTCCTCAAAGGATTAAGCTGGAGCTTGACAAATATTTTTATTTTTTAATATGAGTAATTTAAAATAAATATTTAATAGTAAAGCAACGAAACACTTTACCTTGTGCTATTTTCCAGAACTGTTCTAGTGAGGAACCCTATCCACATGACATCTTTCTTTCCCAGAATCCATTCTAGAATACCTGGAAGAGATGAACACAATGTCAGGAACCGGAAGAGGTGACACTATGTAACCAGTCAGGACCCGGAAGAGGCTGGACTATATAACCAGTCAGGAACCAGAAGAGGTTAGACTTTGTAACCAGTCGGGAACCGGAAGAGGTTGGACTTTGTAACCAGAAGGCACAGTCCAGCCTTCCTCATAAAAAAGCTCTGAGATTCCCATTTCACTTGAGAATGCTCTACTTACCCAGATAACCACCATTTATACTGAAACGTTCATTCAGTGTAAGACTGAACAGTCCCTGAGAAAAAGACAAAGCAACGAAGTCAGAAACATCAACCATGCGCTTTAAGGCCCTGTCGCTCACTGTACTTCAGAGTGGGATATAAAGGCCTAGCTTGGGTAATGGGGAAGGCAAAAATAAATCAAAACCATAAAAGGCTTTTTAAAAAGTTCAAAGCATTTTTGATTCTAGTATGTGAGATAAGTAGGTGGGGTATCACTGGCAACGCTTTTTGGACAGGAAACTGAAGGGCAGAGAATGAACGCCTGACTTGCCTAAGTGAGCGGAAGACCCAGGACTAGAAATCAGATTGTGACTCCCAGCCCTTGACACCCAGCCACATGCTCTTTATCCCAGAAGAGGCTCAGAAACCTCCGTTTCCTTTCTACTCTTCTCTACCACGAGATCTCATACCTATGAAGTGACAAGAAGTACAAGGGGGTGAAATGGGGCTTCATATTCCCTTTAGGTCCTCATATTCTTAGATTTCAACTTTTACATAACGGTAACAGGACAGAAGGCTACCTGTATAATTATGTAACAACAGACTCCTTACTGGTTTGAATCCTGTTAACATGCCCACATAGCCAGCAAAGCTTGAAGCCTTGAAGACAGTTTTGTTGTTTCTTTGGAAATCCAAATTCACTGTTAAAGGTTTTAGTTGCTCAGTTATGACCCAGGTATCATTATTTATGTTCCACCTATAAAAGACATGTTTCAGTGACATTTCAGAAACACAGTGATAGTAATGATCAACATGATGATGAGGGCCAGGCATTACACTAGGAGCTTTATTTACCGAGTCACCACGATCAATCCTAACAAGACCTTTACAATATGGTATATTTATTCTGTTTTCCAAATGATAAAATTGAGGTTCAGAGAAGTCAGGTAACTCTCTCAATATCACACAGCTTATAAATAGTGAGCCTCAGATTCAAACATAGAATGCTAATTACAATATTCTTATTTTTTCAGAAAGGTCAAGATGGACACATAAAATAGAAGAGCATGTCCCTCTTGTCTCAGCACTCAAGCAATCCATTTATCTTCACTTATGATCACATTTTGGGTGTGACTTGGGACTTACTTATCATCAATATAACACAACCTACTCTTCCTACAGACCAAAACAGTTCTGTGTTCTTTTTTTTTTTTTTTTTTTTGAGATGGAGTCTGGCTCTGTATCCCAAGCTGCAGTGCAGTGGCGCGATCTCGGCTCACTGCAACCTCCGCCTCGCAGGTTCAAAAAAGTCTCTGCCTCAGGCTCCCAAGTAGCCGGGATTACAGATGCCCACCACCATGCCTGGCTAATTTTTATGTTTTTAGTAGAGACGGGGTTTCACCATCTTGGCCAGGCTGGTCTTGAACTCCTGACCTCGTGATCCACCCGTGTCAGCCTCCCAAAAAGCTGGGATTACAGGCGTGAACCACCATGCCTGACCCTTTGTTCTTTACTTACCCAAGAAATACTCCAAAATCCATGTTTCTCCCATGTATTAGATGACCTATTTGAAGGTAGACAGAAGAGACGTGTAATAGCAGTTAAGATTCTAAATCAAAGCTGGACAATTAATTTTGATTAATTAATTTATTTTTGAGACAGAGTCTCGTTCTGTTGGCCAGACTGGAGTGCAGTGGTGCGATCTCAGCTCACTGCGACCTCTGCCTCCCAGGTTCAAGCAATTCTTGTGCCTCAGCCTTCCACGTAGTTGGGATTACAGACATGTGCGACCGCACCTGGCTACTTTTTTTTTTTTTTTGTATTTTTCTTTTAGTAGAGAAGGGGTTTTACCATGTTGGCCAGTCTGGTGTCAAACTCCCAACCTCAGATGATTCGCCCGCCTCGGCCTCGCAAAGTGCTGGCATTACAGGTGTAAGCCACTGTGCCTGGCCTCTAATTTTGATTAATTTTTATTCACAACTGTTTCTTCAAACAATAAGAAGTAAGAAACATCCTAATATCCTAAGCCTTCACCAGATGGGACTGTTGTCACCGTCTATCTGCCAGATAACCCCACAAAATCTGAGAGCACGGGTTTCCAGGTAAGATCAGAATATGGGAAAAGGAATCAATGGTCATGTTTTGGTTCACTATCACATGGTTCTACCAGGACACAGAAATCGGAGCCTCAATTACTGTGATTCATCAAATGTTTCCCTTCAGGCATCATCCCCTAGAGCAGGACATCTCAAGGGTAAGGTACAGGCAGATTTATACCCAGAGTATAGGTCAAAGATCAGGGTGAGTTAGCGAAGTTGTCCTGTGCTTTGTACTCTGGGAACCAGTCAGGAAAAATACGGGAAAGTGAGGCTGGTATCCATTGGGTTGCCTGGCTGGGAAAGGATGGGAGAATGTGTGTTCTGGGCCTCAAGAAAAGGACAGATGTCATGACATACACGAAGATAAGGAAGCACCTCCTGCGAGCACTTCCATCAAAGCATGTAGATGGGTAGAAGTAAACTATGAGGAAGAGAAGAATGTTTCTAGCCCTGCAACATTTCTTCCAGGTTTTTTGCATGTCTGAAATCAACTTTAATAGGCAGTACAGTAGTCTGAAAATAAGGAAAATTTTCAGTACAATCACAAAATTTTACCAAGAAATAAAAAGCTGTATGCAACATACACAGAATTTACATAGCAAGCCCAAATTTCAGAAGTTCTAATTTCATTTAGAAGATTTTTCTTTATGTAGTGCTTCATGCTGCCCACCCTCCCTCAGCGCACAATTACCTTTTTTGTCTTCTGCTACTATTGAAGTACAAATGGTAAATAATTCATAAAAAATATTGAATGAAATAATCTCTCCTATGAGAAAAGAAAATTTTGTGTTAATATACAGAACCATGACAATGGGAGAAAAATTTGTTTTAAGAAAAAGTTTCAGTGTTTTCATTGTGTGAGTGTGTGCTTTGGCCAGTGGGGCTGTGCTGGAACGGCCGGCTGGAGGTGGTTTTCTTCCCCAGCCTGGACTCTCTAGACTCAAGATGAAACAAGTCACCAAGGAGGCAGCCTTCGGGCGAGCTGAACATCTGGGCAGGTTGCAATTGTTCTCCAACATCACATCCAAAATGTTTATCAACATGCTTCATTTTGAATTTTCTTTTGGGAGCGTAAATATGATCATTTAATACATCTGGCTCTTGGCTGTTTGCTGGACATATATTTTGCCCAGATTTTTAAAGTGTGACTAAAATTTCTAAGGTGAAAAAGGAGATTCAAGAACTATTAAAATTAGTACAGAGCTGCCAAGAAACTCCATTCTAGGGTATTTTATTTTTTGAATATTTTCCCAAAATGTATAATACTGCTATTTAGCATTTAATTCAAAAGTAGGCAGCACATTGTATTTCTGTCCCATTTAACATTAACATGTTAAGCTCAACATGTTTTTTTCACCCAAATCCAATGTGTATTTTATTTCCATTAAATTTCTAATTTGGTGAAATTCTAGTTATTTTATTATACATTTATAATAATTTATAATAATTATATAAATTTACACCACTTATACATCATGTTATTCTTCTTAATCCATAAGGTATTTCTATTTGGTATTGAGTTGCTAGAGTTCTTTACATAATAAAGGAATTAGACTTGCTTTCCATAAAGGCAGCAAGTACATATTTCCAGTATGCTATCTTTTAAATGAGTTTTTTAAAGAAGCAGCACACAAAACTAGCCACTTTTGTTGATAAATACTACTGATTTTCACAAATTCTCAATCATCTCATAAAATGAAGGTACTGTTGGCTATTTAAAATAATGACACTACTGCTTTGCTAGCTTAAAGATAAAACTTTTGGGGTCGTGGGGAAAATATTTTTCGTTACATGCCATAAAGCTTAAATTGAAATTTTAAAAATAGCTTCCCAAACCATCAATATCTAAGAATAATTTTAACGAATGGCATGTGAGGTCTTCTCCCTGAAAATAAAAGATACTGCTCAGAGAAATCAGTAACTTAAATAAATATTGAGAAAAACAAAGTTGGAAGAATTATACCACCTAATTTGAAGACTTACTATAAAGCTTTAGTAACTGAGGTGAAATAGTATTGATATAAGGGAAGACAAAAAGACAAATATGTAAATGAAACTTAATTCCCCAAACAAAACAACATATATACAATCACCTGATTGTATATACAGATACACATTGTGTGTGTGTGTGTGTGTGTGTGTGTGTATATATATATGTATTGTATATTTATATCAAAGACACCACTGCAATTTGCTGAGGAAAGGATAGCCTTTTGAATTGATGCTGTTTAACTAACTGGATATACCACATGAGAAAAACCTGAAGCTTGACCCATAAGTCATAGCATATACAAAAATAATTCAAAATAGATGATAGGCCTAAATGTAAAAAGTAAACATTAAACATCTAGAAGAAAATATATAAGCATATATATATGACTTTGGGGTAGGCCAAGATTCCTTAAATGGATACAAAAGGCACTACTCATAAAAGAGAAGACTGAGATATTAGACTTCACTAAAATTAAAAATTTCTGTTCATCAAAAGACAAAAGTAAGAGAATAAAAATGAAGGTCATAGACTGGGAGCAGATATTCAGAATCCATATATCTGACAAAGGGCTTATATTCAAAGTATGTAAAAAATTCCTTCAATCTAATTTTTAAAAGGGCAAAAGACCTTCACAAGCCCTTCTCCAAAAGAAACAAAGAAAACCAAAAAAAAAAAAAAAAAGTCAATAAACTGTTCAATCTCATTAATCATCAAGGAAATGCAAATTGAAACTAAAATGCGATACTGCGACACTCAACAAAAAGGCTCAAATAAAGATTGACACTAACAAAAAAAAAGGAAAAAAAAAGACTGACACTATCGAGAGGAGAATTATCAAGAGGAGAAAACTGAAACTCTCATACTCTGCTGATTGTCAACTGCTGGAATCACTTTGGAAAACTGTTTGGCAGAATCTATAAGGCTAAACACACAATTACTCTATAACACAACAGTTCACTTCCTAGGTATATATCCAGAAAATGAGTACCCAGACACCCCCAAAATGTACTACAATATTTATAATTCCTTTATTGTTAATATCACAAATCTGAAAACCACCCAAATACCCTGTTGATACAATAGCACACCACCCATAATGAAATACAAGAAATCACACAGGACAGTTCATATTGTTCAGTTCTATTTATACAAAGTTCACGAAGAGGCAAAACTAATCTATAGTGACATCAGAATAGTGTTTACTGGAGGAGGCAGTATTTTCTGCAAAGGGGCATGATGGAGCATCGTGGAGTGCTGGGCTCTTCCGTATCTTGATCTGAGTCATGGCTACATGCATGCATGCATTTCTGAAGCTTCACTGAGCTGTATATCTAAGACCTGTGCACCTGTGCTGTATATCTAAGACATACAGCACCTGTGCTGTATGTATATCACACCTCAATGGAAACTTGTAAAAGAATTTAATTACTTTTTTTTTTAAAGCTTCTAAGTGAACTTTACCTAAAGGTATATCAGTAACAGCGGCAATACCCTTCATTTCCTCTTCAAAAGGGCCAGGAAAGTTGCCAAGTAGGCCAGGCTGGAAAACAAATATATTAATAAAAGCATTTAACATAATAACAATAAAAAATATATAATATAATATAAACAAATATAATAAAAGCATGCTTTGAAATCTAGTTCTTGGACATATAATTTTTTCTAGATACTGCTATCATAATAAGTGATAGGAATTATTTTTTAAAGCATTTTTACATCATGTAGTTATAAAAAGATTCTATGTAATACTGAATATTGGGCCCCTATACAGAGACCAGATTCTCAGATTGTTTTTCCTGCCTTATTTTTCCATCATTCTCCAGAGAAGGCAGGAACGAGAGTAATTCCACTTGGATGACCTAACCTGACCCACACCACAAAAACATCATAACAAGCACTCCTTATCTCTCTGCACGAATTCACCCTCTAGCCACTGGCATATACCGTTCTTACCATTTCCTTCCCACACTCACAGAGATAAACCTGCACTATTCTATCCATAGCCCTGTGTCATGGTTAATGGCTGATCTTCAGCTAAGATGAAGTAACTGCATTCTTTTAGCAAACCAGAGACATTGAGCAAATTCAGTGGTGGACATCATATATTTATTCTCAATGGCAACTACTAACATCCAGATCACAACTTAAGTTCACGGCCTTTTGCTGAGATAATCTGCTTAAAATTCACGAATCTCACTTTTTTAACCAACTTGGTAATTACATGTAATGTCACCTAAACATATTTTTTTTCTCCCTAGGAACTCAAAGCATTCCCCAAGTGGAATGTTCCAGCCATTTAACAAACAAATGTGACGTAATGGGTATTTATTAAACACTTATTACATCCAAGCACTATGCTTTATACACAGTATGTCATTTAACCCTTACAACCACCATATGAAATATATATTAGTAATTATTATTCTCCCTGATGAGAAAACTGAGGTTTCATAGGTTAAGAAACTTTCCCTAGGACACAAGGCTAGTATGTGACTGATCCAGCCTTAAAACCCAGTATTGTCCGATTCCAAGGCGTGGCACAAAAACTCTCTGCAATGTTGCCCTCCCTGATAACATTCAGAGTAGAGGGGAGATTAAGGCATACGGGGAACGTGGGGGCCTCATCCTCTTTTGCTCCTGCCAGCATTTTTTTGTTTTGAGGAAGTCCGGTAAGTATGAACATAAAGGATAGCCTGAAACAAAAGCTCCGAGAGCATGCACGTGAGGGATAATGGGTTTGGTGCTTGGCAGGTACAAGTGTCATAGGGAGGATGTGGCCACAGCACTCAGCCGCTAGGGCAATGATTCTCGACCACGGGAGATTTGGTAACATCTAAGGACATTTTTGGTTGTCACAACTGAGGGGGTGTTACCAGCATCCAGTGGGTAAGGGCCAGGGACACTGCTAAACATCCTGCAATGCACATGACAGCCCCACAAAAAAGAGACACCCACCCCAGGCCGGGCATCCTGAGCTGCTAAACATCCTGCAATGCACATGACAGCCCCACAAAAAAGAGACACCCACCCCAGGCCGGGCATCCTGGAATGTAGACAAGCCCACGACAAAGAAATATCCAACCCAGGCCGGGCATGGCGGTTCACACCTACGATCCCAACACTTTGGGAGAACACTTTGGGAGGTTGAGGCGGGAAGATCGCCTGAGCCCAGGAGTTGGGAGACCAGCCTGGGTGACACAGCAAGCCTCCGTCTCTACTAAAAATTCAGAAAAGTAGCTGGGTGTGGCGGCACGTGACTGTAGTCCCAGCTACTCAGGAGGCTGAGGCAGAAGGATCCCTTGAGCCTGGGAGATCAAGGCAGCTGTGAGCTATGATCATGCCAGTGCACTCCAGCCTGGGCTACAGAGTGAGATGAGGTCTCAAAAAAAAAAAAAAAAAAAAAGCTGCCCAACCCCAAATGTCATTAATGCCCAAAATCTGCCATCAAGAGCAATGAGGATCCCTTTAACAGTTCTAGGGGCCAGGCCCTAGGTGTTTCATTGGTTCTGCGTCAACAAAAACGGGGCTGAGAAATGGAGTCTTCCTGCATGATGAGGATGAAAATGAAATGGTTTGGTGATTGCACAGAAACACTCAGCCCAAATGAGTTTCAGGGTCAGAGCTACTGAGGAACTCTACAGAATAAGGGGCCAGGCTGAGTATGTCATTTGCTCATATCTACAAAAAAAAAATCTCTGGATGTCCCTGAGACACTTAAGAAAAAAAACCAAGTCTTCAATAGTGAACTCACTACATAAAGGGAAGGAAATACCACACTCCCAGATGAAATATGGTTATTTGCCCAATGTCGTAATGTAGTCCCATCCCCTTTTACGAAACCATAATTTGCTATGCTGTAACCCTAATATTACCAATTCCCCAAATTTAAGTCCCTCTGAAGTTCTGACAGTGAGCTAGATTCATGCAGATTTGCCCAAGTCCCTGCGAAGAGGTTGCTGAATTATGCCTTTAAATAAATAACAGCGCATTTTCTATGTGCTTAACATTTATTGTGAGAAATAATATCTCTTACCAATTTTTCATCCACCACCTGCATAATTTTTCCACTTGGCACGAATGTATTTATCATATTCTTCAGAGAATTCACTATAACCTTTAGCTGAAAAATAAATAAAATGCTTACTAAAAGACATAATGAAATGCTGTCAAGATTACCTTTTGGCTTACCCATATGTAGCTAAAAGAGAGTGCTATTTGACAATTTATATATATATTTTTTAAAACAGCATCTCGCTCTGTCACCCAGGCTGGAGTGCAGTAGCACCATCTCGGCTCACTGCAATCTCTGCCTCCCAGGTTCAAGCGATTCTCCTGCCTCAGCCTCCCAAGTAGCTGAGATTACAAGTGTGCATCACCATTCCCAGCTAATTTTTGTATTTTTTTTTTTAAGACGGAGTTTTGCTCTTGTCGCCCAGGCCGGAGTGCAATGGCACGATCTCTGCTCACCGCAACCTCTGCCTCCCGGGTTCAAGCGATTCTCTTGCCTCAGCCTCCCAAGTAGCTGGGACTACAGGCATGCACCACCATGCCTGGCTAATTTTTGTATTTTTAGTAGAGACGGGGTTTCACCATCTTGGCCAGGCTGGTCTCGAACTCCTGACCTCGTGATCCACCCGCCTCGGCCTCCCAAAGTGCTGGGATTACAGGCATGAGCCACCGCGCCTGGCCTAATTTTTGTATTTTTAATAGAGACAGGGTTTCACCATGTTGGCCAGGCTGGTCTTGAACTTCTGATCTCAGGTGATCCGCCTGCCTCAGCCTCCCAAAGTACTGGGATTGATTACAGGCATGAGCCACCGTGCCTGGCCTCGATTAATACATTAATACAGTAAGTCTAATTTTATCTTTAAAGTGAATTTGATTCTTAATTATTTACATGAAGGGAGATGACATAAAGGGAAAGAAACAAAGGTAAAGTTTACAAAAAAGAACAAAGGCTACAGAGGAATGACCTCTTTTCCTCTGCTGTCACTTAACGTATAGGGCAGAAAGGTATCAAAAGCACAATTTTAAACTATTCTGTGGGTAATTTCATGAAGTGTTCTTTTAAAAATACAATAATATTTAATAAAGTTAGAAATAAAAGATTTAATATAGAATCTCCACGGTCCTTGGGGGGAAAATAAATAAATAAAATAAGAAATATGGCCGGGCATGGCGGCTCATGCCTATAATCCCAGCACTTTGGGAGGCTGAGGTGGGAGGATCACTCGAGGTCAGGAGTTTGAGATCAGCTTGGACAACATGGCAAAATCTTGTCTCTACTAAAAATACAAAAATTAGCCGGCATGGTGGCAGGTGCCTGTAATTCCAGCTACTCGGGAAGCTGAGGCAGGGAAATTGCTAGAACCCAGGAGGCGGAGGTTGCGGCGAGCTGAGATCGTGCCACTGCATTCCAGCCTGGGTGACAGAGTGAGACTCTGTCTCAAAACAAAAAAAAAATCAATCAATAAATAAAAATAAAGAAATAAAATAAAAAATAAAAATAAAGAAATAAAAGATTTAAGCATCATAGCATACCACTGGTGCCTTGTCAAGCATCAATTCATGCCATCTTTTGTAGGGTGGTAAGTCAAGATTTATGGTGTACCATGGAACTGCACCTCTGTACCTGTAATGAGAGGTGTATCATCTTGAAATGATGAAAGGGTTTTTTGTGAGGGTCAGTTAGATACATCTATAAGAATATATGAGAGGCAAAGTCTTAACAGCAGTGTAGAATTTGGTTACCCAAACCAAAATTTGGAAAGAAAGTTCATTCTCTACCTAGTGCTTCTAGGTTGAGAACACAATCATAAGCGGTCACAGAAATCCTGGAATAGAATGATCTAGTAGGGAAGGTTCATGTGAATTGGTTTTCTATGAAAAAATCAACTATGGCTTAAGAGCTCTAACCTGATTATCACTGACGGGAAATACCTGCCATTTTTTTTTTCTCCTAAATATCTGCAAAGATTTAGTCTGGGCTCTAGACAATTCTCCAATTGGTTTCCAGTTTCAGAATTCTCTCTCAGAGAGTGTAACACTATTGCCAAACCAATGTCTCCAGTGTTGCCTTCAGGAAGATCACCTTTTAAGCCCCAGATGGCAACATGTATTATCTTCCCACGATCAGCTTCAAGAACCTTCATGATTCTGTCAGCCATCCTAATCTTCCCTACTATATACCTCTTCTCTTCTCATTTTCCTGGACAAAGTCCAAGCCCAAGCTGTATTCTGTCATATCCTCCAACTTCCTACTCTTTAACTTACGTGCAGCAATTTCTGAGGATATAGCAACATCCAGTCACTTATCAGTGAAGCTGGGCCATATTTCTGGTGGATGAATTCTACAACTATTTTTGTTGCTATAGGAACATTATTTTCTGGCCCTGGTTACTAAACTGAAATAGCTTTTAAGGGTGTGCCAGTTAGTGGTTTATCAGTATAAACCTATGCCTAAAAATAACCATCATCTGTTCCACTGATCTGCTCCTGAGACTGGCAGGGTGACTCTGGTATGTGCCACAATGATACCAGTCTCCTAAATAGAAATGTTATCTAGACTTATGTCCATAGCTGGGGATGGGTTATTACCTAAGTCATGAACTGTGGTTCTATTTATATTTCCACTATCATAAATAATTACTTGGTTCTCTAAATAATGCTGTGTAACTTGGGGCCCTGGTATATGTATGAGGTTTTATGAAACTGTTAACTAGCAGACATTCAGGTTGTGATTTAGACAGAAAAGTATATTCGATTTTGGAAATGTACATTTAAACAAAATCATAGTGAACGAATTTTGTTCTTCTCAAAGCATTTTCAAGTTCCCCATTTTCTTAGGAGCTGATATCTACATGAAATGCTACAATACTTATATTCTAGAAAAAAACTTTTCATCACAACAAATTAATTCCATTTCTGACAGACCATAATTTCACATGTAAAATTTTGTCCCACAATTCAGTAAGTAATTATTGTTCCCCATATTATGGGCAGGTATTACTAGTCTCCCCTCTCCCTTCAACTGTGCATTTAGATTTCTATGTCTAGTAGCAAAGATAACTCAGTGGCCTGTTGGAGATATGCATCTCATCCCTATGAACTCCAATCAGCTGCTCCTCACCTCATAACATCCAACCAATCCCAAATCATGCCTCTATACCCGCCATAAATTCCTGATTCTTTTTCAGCCTAGAGTCCTGGGTAGGTTCATGGATCTCAGAGACGCGATGAGAGGGGATGAACACAACACAACGGACAATGAAGGGATTACAATGAAGTGGGGATGATGAGACCCCACAAACCTCTCTACCATCAAACCTGCACTAATTAGAATTTGAGAGAACTGGTTAATCTAATAAACCAAATTATTTTAATGACTAAAGCTTAGCCATAATTGCACATTTTACCTCTCGTTAAACAGTTTTCTAAAACATTTCAGTATTTAACTTGTGCGCCTCCATTTCCCCATAAGAATAAAAGAGTATCCACCTTATAACAGCAGGGAAGACACTATATGAAAAATGCAAAAATAAAAAAAACACTTAGCAGCATTGGTATTCAATCAACAGTAGTCATCACAATTTATTTTCCTACTTCACTGCAAACAAGAAATATCATTTCATCATTTTTGAGACTTAGTGTTTGCAATGTCCATGCCATTCATAATATCAGCAACATCACCTGAACCCACATGGCTACCTAGGTGGCATGGAAACTAGTCCAAGTGACACAACACACACATATACAAATAAGAGAGCAAGTGCTAGGCATCCCGTGAGCAGTGGGAAAGAAATGCTGAATGGGACTCAGATGGACTCAGGGGTGATCTGGCTATCAGTTCCTTTATCTTCAGCATTGATTTGACTAGTCATGCTGGCCAAACAGGTTATCTTTTTCTTCCCTCATATCTGCCCATGGATGCTGCCCAAATCTACGCACTTAATTGAAAAGGATGATCTCAAAGGAACAGAACGTCTGTTTGTCATTCAAAGGTACATAAATACCACAGTTATCTCCTAAATCTCAAGATCCATTGATAGAGTTGAGAGAAGAGAAGGATAAGAGCAAAGCCGAGGCTTTTTGTGTAGGAAAGCAGGCTAGTGAGATAAAAAGAAAGCTAGCGAAAAAATGAAGGCAAGGAAAGAAACATACAAGTTATGTCCATGTATACACGTGTATGTGTTTTGGAGTACATATGTATGTATACATGTAGGTATGTATGCACATAGGTAGACACACACTCACATGCACATGGCAATAAGAGTCAGTAAAATGCCTAATCAGGAAAGGTTTATGGTTTGCAGGGCATTCAATTTATAGACACATGTAAAGTGCACCTAAAAGGGAGTAGAAACGGCCTCAAACATGGAAGGCACCTCATTAAATGTTCAATGAATTGGGGCAGTGAGACCAACAGAGAGACATAATCAATCAGTAAGGCAGACATGTCACTGAAGGCCAGAATGATGCCAGTGATGACAGAAAGGAAGACTTTCAGACAGCAGGCCATTGAAGAAAGAGCTGGAATGAACACTGGCCCCAAACAACATCCAAACTGGTTACCTCTAAATTGCTTCCTGCCAAATACTGGCCTCTTTCTACATAAAGGCGAGTAAGTCAAAAGAACTTAGTTTATTACAGTTTCACGCTATCTGGGACAGAGGCTATTTAAAATACATCGTTTAGACAACAACAGTACAACGTAAGTAATTTGGAATGTTGCACGAACTGAAAATGTCATCTTGATATCACTAGATAGAGTTGTACTGTTTCCCCCTACAAACAGCAGGCTACTTTCAGCGAAAGGGCAGTGTAGGAGAAAAAGATCACCACCCCCTATACCTGTTCCTTCTTTTCTCTGTTCTGTACACTCTGAGGGGTCTGTGAGCTGTTATTATGGCTTTCTCACAGGCCCATTTAAACACTGAGGATTTGGAAAGACCAAAATCTAGACTAAAAATATTAATGTTAAACACACTGAATCATGACATTGGTCCTCCTCTTAGGTGTTCCAATCCTGTTTTGTCCTCGACAGCTTTGTTGTGCCAAGGTTTATTTTGAGAACGTTTCACATATGAGGGCCTATGCTTTTTTGTTACAATATAATTTGGTGGTTTATATCCAGGCACCATAGAGAATCACAGGTCATTTCAAATACAGCCCTTACATTTGTCAAAGATGAGAAAAACCCTTCATGGTAGACAGGAGAATTGAGTGGAGAATGAAAATCCTTTCCTTTTTTTTTTTGAGACAGAGTCTCACTCTGTCGCCCAGACTGGAGTGCAGTGGTGCGATCTCGGCTCACTGCAAGCTCCGCCTCCCGGGTTCACGCCATTCTCCTGCCTCAGCCTCCAGAGTAGCTGGGACTACAGGCGCCCGCCACCACGCCTGGCTAATTTTTTGTATTTTTAGTAGAGACGGGGTTTCACTGTTAGCCAGCATGGTCTCGATCTCCTGACCTTATGATTTACCCGCCTCGGCCTCCCAAAGTGCTGGGATTACAGGCGTGAGCCACCGCGTCTGGCTGAAAATCCTTTTCTTTCCGATGATTTTGATAGTCTAGCGACGGGCATTTGAATCGGAAGATATTTTCATATTTGTCCAAGATCTCAGCCAAATGCATAATAAACAAATCTGAGAAACAAACCTCTGTCTCGGAATGGGAAACATGACTTAAGATTTTATTCACTATCGTTCGTTTATGAGCAATTATTACATACAGAAAAAACTTCACAAAGGTCAAAGGGAGTTTTGATCATCTGATGTTTACTCACGTTGGTCCTGAAGGAGGATAGGTTGATTTTCTGCAGTCCTCTGTCCACTGAAAAGCAAAGAAAATTAAGTTTCAGAAAATAACAAATGCTTGCCAACGGAATAAGCAATTTCAAAAGTAGTTAATCTGTGAAGACAACATCAAGTCTGATATTGCTCTTTTATACGTTTCAATGCCTCTTAAAATAAGTCTTTTCTTTCCAAGAAAACTTCTAAAATCCTAAACCATTAAGTGGATTTTCAGTTTCAATTCAATTTGTAAAAGTGCTAGGTGTTATAATTTGGCTCTAATATTTCAAATATATTGAGTAACGAACAAATGTAACAAAGTAGATGGAAAATATTTATGTTAGAGAGGCTGACTTAGCACTAAAAGTAAATGACCTGATAGGATGTATTATCTGCACTTACCAGCCATGTGTGTTGCAACCTGTCCTGGGATTTGCCTCCCAAACCAGATTTTCAGGGCACACAGCACAGGGCCCTTCATCATCTTTCCATGGTAACTTACCATCCCAGCCTCATCTCCTGACACTCCCCTTAGTATTTATAGCCATACGCAGGCACTTCCTATCATCTCTCACCCTTCCATGCCTGTGTCTGTGCTATTCCCTCTTGCTAGAATGCCTTTTCCCCACCTGGTGAACTGCTGGTTCTAACTTCCAAGATTCAGTTCAAGCATTTTCTTTCTTGTGAAGTCTTCATCTATCTTCCATATGAAAATATTCATACCCTCCTTTCCTCCCACAGCATTTGTGCACACTCTCATCAACATGTTTATGACACTGCTTTATAATCATCTGTTTGCGTTCCTTGTCAATACCAGACTCTGCGCTCCTTGAGGTGAGGACGGCCCCCAACACTGACGTCACTGCCTGAGACAAGGAATGAACAGACTCTTTTAGGGGAAGTTGTCCAAGCTTAGTGGCAAAATGGAACCTTCTCCTAAACTTATCAAAAAAAGTCCACACAGATTTATGATTCTTTTGTTACTCATTCAACATATCAAGTGTCTTTATCTCCTTTCCTCTGGAGAACCAGTTCTGTGAAAGTAAAATAATTGTTTTAAAAAAGTACAAATCCAAAATAAGATAAAGTAGAGTAGGTAAGAAAACTCTTGGAACTGTAGCTTGAGCTCAGAAAACTCTTGGAACTGTAGCTTGAGCTCAGAAAACTCCTGGAACTGTAGCTTGAGCTCAGAAAACTCCTGGAACTGTAGCTTGAGCACAGAAAATGTATCTGCTGGACAGCTGTGTAAGAATGGAGGTCTAGCACCTTGTTTTAACTTTTGATAACATGGGGAATATATAAAGTAGGTTGACATTACCTGTGATTCAAACATTAGCTGTCAAATTTGCCTTACCACACTGTAAGTTTCTCACATATGTCTGGCTTTGTCTGGTAATTTTGCGTTGAATTCATTAAGAAACAATATCAAGTCTGTAGCAAAAGCTAATTTCCAAAGCCATTCGTGTTCAGTAATAGTGGCTGGGGGCAGCTCGTTTAGAAAAACTTCAGTCTCAACTGTGAACTCAAAGACTGCAAAACTTTACAGCTAGCAAGCTATCTAATGGCTCTGTCACAAGAGACATCAGGATATCCGGCCTCTATTTCTGATAATTCACAGAAATGATGACGGTTATATCCACAAGAGCAAATGAAGCTCATGGTTTATATTGCCGGTTCAATAACACATGTGAGATTCCAATATTTTCCACAAAATATCTGAAAAGGAATACTATAATAAATAACCATGAGCTTTAAACACCTCGCATGTTCACAAGTTTTGTGAATTTGCTCAACTCCGCCTTTTTCTACTCACAAATATTTTTACTACTGTCAATTTTTATAGATCTTAGCAGATTCCATTCCAGGTTATACTCAATCATTATTTTCTCAGCTTCTTCGAAAACATCCTCGCCTGTAGTTGTTTTATACAGATGATTCAGAGGCTAACTCTTCAGTCACTTCAAACTTGGCAATGATCATCTAATAAATATCAACAACTGATCAGTTATCGGTATGTTGACAGTCAAGAAAAATCACTCAAAAATCACATGCTTTGTTCTTTAATTGATATTGATGTTCTTCCCAAAGTCCAGGACAAGGGTTCTCAATGACATGTAAAATAATTTCATTTTCCCTGGACACAATACTTCTGCTACTACAATCGAATACAATTTAGGTAATCCACCATTGGTAAATGGCTTTCCTTATTTTGCTAATAAATGAGCTACTTAGAGACTTATAGGGGTTGCAACTTAATTTTACTTTGTAAAATTTGTAAATAAGTTCTGCTGTGAGGAGATACTCCGCTTTACATTTTCTTGTTTATCTGACCATTGTTTTCCTATGAGTTGGGAATACTGTGATGGGTACTTAACCCAAGTGCTTAATTTTATGATCATGTTGTGGACTTAAGACCCTGCTCCATTAGTGACTTGTAGAAAGTTACACAGCTGGTGACAGAATCAGAGTCAATGGCTTTCCCTGTTCTATCAAACAGCTTCCCACAGAGATAATAAAACCAATGCCTCAATTTAATTCCTAACAGAATAATCTGCGCGTAGTTCAGGGCTTCTGGTGATCACTAGAATCAACTCGGCAAATTAAGTGAAACGTAATGACTCCTATCCCTTCCTAATAATGACATTTGCACGCCCTGGGTTCCAAAGCCAAAATAAACATCAAATTACAGGCACATTTCTTACTAGACAACTGTGAGCAAAGTTGAAAATGCTCTGTCTAGTATTAGGAGAGAATGTGACCTGCCCCAGAGGTAAGAACTAAAGAGCAAGCTAGCAACAATACATGTGGAGTGAGTCTGAGGTTGATAACGACTCTTGGTAGCAATAAACAAACGTGAAATTGGCATAGAACCTGGCTGCAAGGAAATAGGATAAGTGTGACAGAAAATAAGAAAGTTGGCAGCTATGAGACTACAGTATTTCAGGGGCTCACATGGCATGAACGCCTAAGTCGTTTATGCAAAAAGGTTAGTTTTAGGGGTAGGGTGGAAAAAAGAGCTACTTCCTCCCCCTCAAAAAAGAATTCTACAGGGAGACACAGCTTCAAAACCCACGAGTAGCCCTAAAACAGAATTATAATGAACTTACTTAATGTTATTTAAAGTTCCTTACTATCCCCAAGTTTATAAACAGTTTAATAACAGACAACTCTATTAAGGCAGGTAAAAACTTAAATAGATGATAGGTAAAGATTAGAAACAGATGATAAGAAGAGAGATTATGTGGTCTGGATGGTATACTATGTACACCCTATCACAGGAAACAAAATCCAACTTAGAATCAATTCTCTCTAACCCTCTCCCCACAGTACCTCTCTTTCTCTCTCTCTCCCTGCCCTTCCCTACCTTTCTCCCTGCCCCTCAGTGGTCTCCTAAGAGTGAAGATAAGTGGTAAAAATCTGATATTTCAATGCATTTGAAACTCTCTGGGCCAGGCATGGTGGCTCATGCCTGTAATTCCAGCACCTTGGGAGGCTGAGGTGGGTGGATCACCTGAGGTCAGGACTTCAAGACCAGCCTGGCCAACATGGCGAAATCCCCGTTACTACTAACAATGCAAAAATTAGCTGGGTGGCATGTGCCTGTAATCCTAGGTACTCGGAAGGCTGAGGTAGGAGAATTGCCTGAAGCCGGGAGGTGGAAGTTGCAGTGAGACGAGATAGTGTGACTGCACTCCAGCCTGGGAGACAGAGCAAGACTCCATCTCAGAAAAAAAAAAAAAACAAAAAACTCTCTGGAAAGTGCTTTTAAAAGACTGTTTGGGTCAGAAAATTCTCTAATTTTTCTGGTTATTTGATAGAAACTTAAGCCTCTTTGAATGTCCTCCCCATTCATTAAGAGAAATTAATTACAGAGCTACTGAACACAACATTCTAAAAAAAACACAAAAATATAAAGAGAACATTAAGGTCTCAATGAAAGCGCCATACCCTTAAAAAATGGCATAACTTGTACAGCTCCTTAAAATATTTGAGCCCGAAAGAATTAGGAGACCCTCAATGAAATAATGTATGCTTCTAATAGTGAATTTTAAAAGTCCAGAAAGCCCTTGTGTGCTTGTCTTATTGAAATACTCAGAAAGAGACAATGAAGGATAATCTAAAATTACATACCTCATGTCAGTTTTCATACCCACCAGAAGCCAAACAACTCTAGCCAGACAATTTTTCATTCATTCAATTCTTGAATTCATCAACAACTATTTTGCAGACAAGTTTTTCCTATAATGTCCTCTTATGTACAACTCAGCAGAAACACTGAATACAAAGAGGCATGTTTCCTACGTGTACAAGAATTCACATGAGCTTGAAAATGTTTTCACTTGTCTTCTGGGCTTTGATGGGATGGCATCCTATTAAGCTACTGATATTTAGGTCAAAGGAATGTGAATAAACCCTCCATGAGAGGAAGGACCTCATCTATCTCATTGGCTGACGCATTCCCAGCGTTTAGGAGTCTGGCACATAGTAGGCAAGCAGTATTTGTTGAATAAGTGAATGGATTACACCTGTGTGTTCCCTCTTTGGGAGAAGTAGGGAAAAGCAGATGAAGTGCAATAAATTCCTAGGCCAGATGGGGTCTATGAGATTTCTGGCAACTGCGTGAAAATCATTGCTAAAGCTGATTCAATAGCTAATGTCAACAATGTTGACATACGCTGTTAACTAGTATGAGAAGCTGATGCATAAAAATGAGTTTACAAGTTTACTTTGGCAATTAATTACTAAGCCATTACGTTTCATCTTCGCACATCTTATGAAGTGGGTCAGATTTATTACGCAGAGCAGCCATCTCTCCCCTCTAGTTCCTTTCCTGCCAATCACACTTAGCCTACCGCAAGCTGTTTTCTGCCCCCAACACTGCTCCAGTCGAGGTGACCAATGACCTCCAGTTGCCCAACATCATAATACCACTGACATCTCAATAATATTCAACATAGTTAACCTGTCCCAGTCTCTTCCCTGAGCTTCCTGTTCCACTTACTCTCCTATTTTTTTGTTTTTGTTTTCTGTGACGAAGTTTCGCTCATTGTCCAGGCTGGAGTGCAATGGCAGGATCTTGGCTCACTGCAACCTCTCCCTCCCAGGTTCAAGCAATTCTCCCGCCTCAGCCTCCTGAGTAGCTGGGACTACAGGCGTGAGCCACTATGCCCAGCTAATTTTTGTATTTTTAGTAGAGACAGGGTTTCTCCATGTTGGCCAGGCTAGTCTCAAACTCCTGACCTCACGTGATCTGCCCACCTTGGCCTCCCAAAGTGCTGGGATTACAGGCATGAGCCACCGCGCCCGGCCTGTCCTGTTTTAACTTTGGCAATTTCTCCTCTTCTTGACACATACATGTGCAAGTTACTTAGCCTTTGCCTAGTTCTCTTTTCTTCTCTTTCTCTATCCTATTTCTAGGTAAGTTCATCTGCTCCAAGGGCTTCAAATATAATATCATTATGCCAGTGACTCTCAGTGTCTCTCTTCTGAGTGCCAGTCCGAGTGGCCTGCTGGATGCCTCTCTGCCACCTGAAATTTAACATACACCCCAAATGAAAACGATCCTCATTCTTTAGCCCCCAAGCTTTCCCCTCCCCATGTTTCCTGGAACGGATGCCACCATTCGCCCAGCGAAGCACTTCAGCAATGTGCAGGTCACGCTGACACCTCACTCCCTCATCCTCACCCAACGATTCCTTCAGCTCATTCGCCCTCCTGATTTTTTTCTAGAACATCTACTTCTCTCCCTCACCCCTGGCGCCACCATCCTTCAACGCACCCTGTTTTCTTTTCTGGACTAGTCTCCTCATATCTACCCTTGCTGACCTCCAATCCAGACTCATCTTTTTAAAGTGAAAATGTTATCTTGTCTAAAACCATCTAATGGCCTCCCATTGGCTGGTTCCAGATCCTCCCATTTTTTAGGATAAATTTCTGAATCCTTAATAAGAGTCTACAGAACCCTGGATGATGTCATCTGGCGCTATCTCTCCAGACATTTCTTGTGCCACTGTCTTCACCATCATCTCTTAATAGACTCCTAAAAAATTCAATAATGAAGAATAACTCAGGAGGACCTTCACATAGGAATATTGTGAAAAGCCTCAAAAACAAACACACAAAAAATCCTTACAGATGTTCTAAATCAAATGACTTGTTTCCAATTTAAAGCTGCTTCTCATTATTCATATTTATTGAAAGTACTTTTGAAATATCTTTTGTTACCATGAGGCTATAGTTTATCATATAATGACTCCAGTTGAAAAACTGCTTATTCTTCTCAGAGAATGAAGTCACTAAACTTCTGTAAGGTTCTAAAGGTCCTTCAGTGCATGGATCCCAGGATTTTCCAGGCCAGTAAAAAAAAATTAATGAGGCCTTGGCACAGGAGGGTCCAAATTTTTATTCTGCCAAATGGAGATGTTAAAACAAAACAAATTCCATGCACATAACATCTACCTCTGCCGTTATTTTTAAGAACACGTTTGCAACAATGAAAACTTGAAGTCCATACAATCAGAGTAAAGATTAACATTCTAAATTAATAATTTTAGTTTTGCATTCTTATTTTTCCAGTTTCATTGAAAACCTGTGAAAACAGCTTCCCAAAGTGACACCAGTGGCCAGACTAGACTTTGATAATCGCTGTTCTAGATAAGAACTATTATATCCATTGAGAGGTTGTTAATTCTTCTTCTGAAAATAGCTATCAAAATACTTTTGCTAGAATAAATAAAGCTATTGAGAAAGAAGAAAAAACAGCCTCCAACACCTGAAACTGCTCTGAGTCCCACAGCTATCTCTCAATATTATTACAAGCCGATCTGACACTCACAGCCAGGTAAGCTCTGTTTTCCTCCTGGACATCAACAATCCCACAGATACCTACGTCGGATAAGATTATTCTGAGACATGACACACCAAGACAAAGCAATGCCACTTGAAGATTTTCTCTAAGAACAGACAAAAACAAGGGCACCTGCAACGCACAAAACACCAAACATCCCCTTCTCGTGCTAAACAGAATGGCTGTTCCTTCTTTACTCAGTCAGAATTGCCCCACCTTCTAACAGCATTCTATCTACAGCAAAGCCCGGTTCCTCAGTCTTACCCCAAATCATGCAACCGAAGTTCAAATTCTGTAATGGGTTTTTTTCTATAACCTACCGTCCGTCGCTCATGGTGTGTGGTCTCCTTTGCCTCAAAGAACACTAAACCCAATTTGTTCAGCTTATGGTGTGTTCCTGGTGGTCTTTCAATGAAGGGCCCTGACAGTATCAAAGTATCAAAGTCTCTCCCAATTCCCATAAAACCAACTACCGTCAAGCAAATTAATTCCCTACCCACAATGGAGCAATTTTATTTTAAGGCCTTTAATCGTGTCCACATACATGTTCTGTGTATTTTCCTATTACAGGAAAAACTGTATATACTATTCTGGATTCTACTTTTATCTGCTGAACATTATATCAATTTTAATGGCTAAATCATATCCCACCATGATTTTAAAGAATTTCTCCTTACAGGTATAAAAGAAGACAATGCACATCTTGCTTCCACTTTCAATAACCTACCTAAACTATTCAAGACCATCACCATCTAGCCTCAGGCCAGATGCGCCAGGTTCCTACTTATCCGATTCTGTTGGCAAAGACAAACGCAGTCTGATTGCTTTATAAAGAAATGAATTATGAAAGAGTACTGGGCGTCAAGAGGCTCGGACGTTACGCATGTTCAGTAAACAACAGTGTAACCTCTGGCTAAATATTTTCTCACTCTAGGTCTACTTCCTCTTCTGTAAAATGAAAGAGTCACGCTCGTCCCTCACTGTCTCTTGCAGTTAGGAAGTCCGTAGCCCTGTGACTTGCTCGTGGGAAAGAGCCACGGGACAGGCGATCCCATGACTTGGGTGCAAAAGGCCACAGGGGGCCCTTTGGGGCCTGCTCTGGGCTGCTCGCACCGCCCAAGCTTGGGACCACTCAGCGTTTCCCACGGCCCTGCAGTATCCTGGGCTGAACTCCTGAACTTCTTCGGGAGAAAGCACCTGACCATCAGGCAGTCTGTCCTTGATTGAGTAATGCACACAGGTCCACCGGAACATTTTATTTAAACACTTCAAAATGCAAGGGCCTGGAACTGGTTATTCAAGTACACTCACTCAAATCTAAGAATGTGCGAATCACACCCAGGTATCCTGCAGAGACTAGGATTTCCTTTAAAGGAGTTCTAGTTGCAGGTAGCACCGAATCTACCGAGGACGGGGTTCGCCAGCCCGCTCTGCACCCACACCCCTGTGCACGAAACCACAGACCCCCGTAAAGAAGCTGCCCAGCACGAGGTGTTCCTTGTACCCGCTCGCGCCGCCACACCTGCGCCTCCATCCGCGCCCGCACCTGCACGCCCCTCTCTGCGCCTCGGCTCAAGCTCACTCACCGGCGGCGCGTGCTGCGCGACGGCACAGCTGACGGCGGCAGCCAGGAGGACTAAGGCGACGCAACTCCGGCCCGGCATCGCTCTAGCAGCCAACGCCACTCCCCGGACTCCAGCAGAGGCAAAGAAGAGCCGGCTGGGCCGGGGGCAGGCCACGCCCCCTCCGCCGCGTGACCCGCGACCTGGGACCGCACCATTCCAGGCAGTAGGGGGAACGCTCGGAGGAGGCGGGACTGGGAGGAGAGGACGGGGCTTTTCAGTGCCACGAAAAGGGTGGCGTAGAGAAAGAGAGAGAGCCTTCCAGGCTACCTGCAGAAGGAGAGTCGCGATCGCCTTTGGCGCGTGGCGTGATCCATCCCCCTCCCCCACCGCGGGCAATAGTCGGACCGAGCCGGAGCCCCGCCCCGTAGGTGGGGCCGGGAGCTTCACCCGTGGCGCCTCGATGGGGCGCCTCTAGCAGGCGGGTGCAGCCTGTCCCGCGTACCCAGGCGTCCTCGGTACCCACGAAACGGATCCAAAGAGTCTCAACACTAATGTAACATCCCACCCTGACCCATCTTTGCCCTCTGAGAAAAGCGGCCCGAAATGAGTTGAGTTATTCATCCCCACCGCGGAGTCAGGGACAAGGAGCAGTTGAGTGGCCGAGGAGTGAGAGAGAATCGAATCCACTCGGGTCCTCCAAGCTGTTGGTTACCCACTTGGGCTTTCACAGCAAAGCTGCCAAATCCCAGAATTGAGGCCTCGGTGAAAAGCGCGCTGAGACTTGGGTAGGAGGCCCGGTGGGACCCGCGAGCTTTCTCTCCCAGCCCGATGCAGCAGTTCATTAAGCGGCTGTGTTTCCTCCTAACTGGCGAAGGACTCAGGTGGGCGGAGCAGAGCTCAGCTTGGGAGGAGGCGGACGCGAGTAGCTCGGCAGGGGGACTCGCTTGGCTTTCGTGCCATCCGTGGACACAGTCGCGCGGGTAGGTGACCGGGTTGGATTTCAAAGTCCAGCAGGAAATCCTGCCCTCTGGGTTGCACTTCCTGGATGAGCCTCTGACGTCTCAAGCAGCATTGTTTTAATGCTTTGATGAAGCTCAGCACGCTGCCGAAATCTCGGCAGTATTTTTTCTTTTCTTTTTGCATGTGAGAGAAAGGACAACAAATTGCAGTTTTATCCATTTGTATTATTTCTTTAGAAAACTCAACACTCTTTTTGTTGGAGGTGGGGAAATGAGAAGGTGATGTTTTGTTTTGCTTTTTTTCCTATTTTTTTTTTTTAAAGGAGGAGAAGATGACAGTGTTCTCCCTAAGGATGAAGTTTGACTTTTGAAACATATCACATGCTTAAAGCACATTTGAGCTCCTGCATGAACAGTAAGCTAGCAGATGGTAGAAATATTCTTTATTAATTCAAAAAATATTTACTGCGGACCTACAATGTGCCAAGCATGTCTCCTGACACTGGGGATAAGCAGTGAACAACAACAAAAAGACAAACTTCTTCCACCCTGAGGCGTATGTTCTCGGTGAGAAATGGGCAATAAACATAATACCTAAGAAAATTATACGGGATGTTAGTGACAAATGCAGTGGAGGAAAAGGGAGGCCAGGGGCATCAAGTGTGGAGATCAGAAGTGGTAGAGTTACAATTTTAAATAAGAGGGACAGATAGACATGATTAAGGAGGTGAAGTTTGAGCAGACAGTTGAGGGAGACCAGGAAGCTAGTTTTGTGTGTGCCCAAGTAAGAGTATTCTAGGCAGAGACAGCAGCTGTTAAAAGGCTTTAAATGGAGAATGTGCCTGGCATGTTCAATTACAGCAGACGTGTGTGGGTCTGGCACAGAAAGAACAAGGGGAAAAGAAGAAAGAAGTATTAATAGACAAAGTATTTAGTTAAGGAGAGCAGGGCAAATTCTGTAAGGCATTCAGAGCCATTTCACTCCGGAAAAAAAATGTGTAATATTGAATATACGTGTTAAATGTTGAATCTATGGAATTACCTTGGAGCTTAAAATGAGTGTGCGAAGAAGAGGATTCCCATCTTTTAGTTGTTATTACTAAATCAAATAGCTACTTGATTGGAAGATCATTCATCTTCAGTACTCTTGAGAGCGATTTAAACATGTCACCAAGCATATTTTTTTCCCTACTGGAGGATGTTAATTGGTGATTAGGTAGTCTAGCAAAATCAGATTCTTTATGGAAAAAATTTGTCAATTGACATACTATTCTTAGGCACCACTTTCGCAGAACTATGCGTCTAACTTTCAAAGGTCTATTATATATTATTAATACTCTTTTCAGATAAAATATAAATCTAGTTCCCTAAAATTAAACCATTTCATGCATGTCTTTTTTTTCTTACACATATATCTTTATTTTGCCTACACCATTCTTTAATACTAGAAATGTACAGAAAGTCAAGGCAAGGTGTGTGTAGGAGACTTTGCAGTGGTTTTTGGCATACTGATCTGTTCATAGAAAATGGTATTTAAATGTGCAAATGCATGATTATGTCCACGGAAAGGGTGGTTCATACTGCACAAAAGCATCAAGTTTAAGACTTGGATAACCTGTTTCGTGTGCAAGAGTCGGGATATGTAATCAGATTGTTTATGGAATAGCTGAAGTTCTTGGCAAGCTGTGGACTTCCTCATCTCCTACCTAACATTCCTAGGTTCCTGAGGTGGAGCCTTGATTTAAAAGGGTTGCAACTTAGCCACCCCACCCTAAATGAAACCTATCATGTATAACATCACATTACCTGGAACAGGTTTGACTTGATTTAGTAAAACCGAATATACAAAAACGTGTACTAAAAGGTCAAGAGATAGAGAAATAATGTTTCAGTTTGAGAAATAAACATTTTTTTAACTTTAAATATTGACTTTTTTATGAATAAGGAAGCTTTTTATTTTACAGGTCTTTGTGGGAAGAAACAAATCACAAAAGCAATTAAGAGAGCTCAAACAATGGGTAAGAAAGAGCACCTCAACAACTGTATTGAGCTAGCTGAAATTTTGCTCATTATGCTTTGTCAAGAACTTTAATTATCTCTTTACAGGGTTTATGCCAGTTACATACAAGGATCCTGCATATTTCAGGGACCCTAAAGTTTATAACATCAGATATCCGGAATAAATTCCATCACATTACCACCAGTAAACTTATTTTATAGTAAGTGGTTGTATGACGCCAATACTGACTCAAACCAACCTTTGGATAGAAAAGTGTTTCAGGAGTGAGGTAAAGAATGACACTTCCCCTTCATACCAATCAGTGTTCATTAAGCAGATCGCTTATTTAAAATGTTAACACTCATCACATTTTACATATGTTGAATGAAAGTGGTTCTGGGTGATAGTCATTTATATCTGGTCCACAAATAGCTCATACAATGTAGTACACCATTCAACTGAATGGAGTTAAAACTGCTCAGAATGGTTTTCTAACTAGCAAATGTAAGTATGCCTGGTTAAGAGATCTTCCCTTTGTAGGAATGTTACACTGGGATGCATAGTGATGCTGTCACAGCAGGACAAAACATTCCTAGACAACTCTATCCTCAAACCAGTAGTGTCTTTTACATAAAAAGATGATTTACACCTAATAGACAGTGAATGTGATAGACATGTATGTATATATGTATCAGTTCTGAGTTCCACCAGCCTATCCCAAACACACTGGATTACCAGGCTTGTACTGTACTCAAAATTAAGGATTTGCTAAATTTCGTGCAAAGGACTCTAAACTAGGGGAGAGATTATTGTTTGTGTTGCGTTATAGTTGTGTAATAATTAAGGCTGCCAGATTTAGCAAGTACAAATGTAGGACAAATTTAAATTTTAGATCATGTTTTGCAAAGGTACTGCGTGAGATCCAGCATTTTATCTGGCAACACTAGCTGTAATGTACTTCTAAAAAATTATCACCTAAGGATAATTTTAATGACTCAGATAAATTTCATATAAATTTCTTTCCACATTGTGAAAATAAGGCTATTCTAGCTTTTCTAATACTTTTTTTTTTTTTTTAATAGAGATGGGTCTCACTGTGTTGCCCAGGCTGGTCTCTAACTCCTGGCCTCAATCATTCCTGCCTTGTCTTCCCTAAGTGCTGGGATTACAGCTGTGAGCCACTGTGCCTGGCCTCACTTTTCCAATTCTAAAGAATGTGTGTAAGCCTTTCCCTCAACAACTTATTGAAAGGCGAAAAAAGGTTTGGAAATAAAAGGATCTGATGTTTGAAAAAGTACTTTGTAAAATAAATGCACTAAGACTTATCTGTGGATTACTGCAAAGAGGTGAATATAGTAAAAACAAATGAACTTACCTGTATTACTGCAAGTAGCTCAACCTAGTAAAAACAATGGAAATGTTTGACTTTACCCATCAGCCAAATTAAAAAAATCTCCTTTTAAGGTTAAAAGGATCAAAATGTAGGTGACCGTGAATATTCACCAAAACCTTCATCTTTTCAATCTCTTCATCTGTTTCTGGGCTGCTCATTTTGGATGCTTTTTTATTGGTTACTACTATCAGTATCTGTTTTAGATGGTTTGTCTTGTGTGTCTAACAGCCGTGAACACTCTTTTTTTTTTTTTTTTTTCTCCTGAGTCGAAGTATTCCTCTGTAGCCCAGGCTGGAGTGCAGTGGCAGGATCTCAGCTCACTGCAAGCTCCGCCTTCTGGGTTCACACCATTCTCCTGCCTCAGCCTCCCAAGCAGCTGGGACTACAGGCACCTGCCACCACGCCGGGCTAATTTTTTGTATTTTAATAGAGACAGGGTTTCACCATGTTAGCCAGGATGGTCTCTGTCTCCTGACCTCCTGATCCGCCCACCTTGGCCTCCCAAAGTGCTGGGATTATAGTCGTGAGCCACCGCGCCCAGCCAATTTTTTTGTATTAGAGATGGGGTTTCACTGTGTTAGCCAGGATGGTCTCGATCTCCTGACCTCGTGATCCGTCCGCCGTCATCTCTTGAACTGCCATCTGTCAGCTAAGTCTAAGGTTTTATGCTTAACCATTTGTGGTGTACTAGCTGGACTAGCTTCAGGAATGTCAGTGTTTTCTACCATTAAGGTCAGATTGTCTACTACATCGAGATGGTGGTGGTTGTTAGAGCTACCTTTAGAAACATGTCTGTTTTTTTAAAGACATAACACATGCATGAAGAATTCAGAATCTGGAAAAAAGGTCCATAATGTTTGACAAAGAAAAATGTTCTCCTGAGGGTCTTTTTTGGATGCTCTTCTCTCGTTCTGCTGGAATCTGGGCTCATCTCCTTTTTTCAATTTCTCGTTTTAATCTGTTTACATCCTTTACTAGTTTATCTACTGCTTGTTCACTGTCTTCCACTTTTTTGCATATACTCTTTAATTTCTCTTACAATGAAGCATACATTTCATTTATCTTATGTACCTCCTTTAAGGATCCATCTTCTTCAAAAAATTTAGAGCTGTGTGTTTGTACTGCTCGGCTAAAACCAGTGGACATACAGGAACCTGATACAGTTTTATAACCTAGTTGTTCAGACATGCCCAGATTGGCAACCACTGAAGGTACCCTGTGAAAAAGTCCTTTTCGAGGTTTATATAAGGCATGTTCCAGTCGATGAGTAGAGCGGCTTTCTGTTATTATACTTGGTGTTCATAGCAGAAAAACCAGGTCTTGGTTTGAAAAATGCTCCTGCAAGTTTTTGTGAAGCAGCCTCTCTCTAAATGTCATGATCTGATCTGAATGACGATGGAATTTGTAACAACCTACCACATTTTTTGTGAATTTGATAATATTTTCCTCAGTGCCTGCTTATTTACTTCACCTGAAGAATTATAAAAACTAAAAAACTGATAGCATGGAATATATTTCTGAATGTCAATTGTATAAACAACTTCAGCATCATCTATTTGGGAATCAGTAATGCTATTCTTTTTTTTTTTTTTTTGAGATGGAGTCTAGCTCTGTCACCCAAGTTGGAGTGAGGTGGCCCGATCTTGGCTCACTGCAACCTCTGCCTCCCGGATTCAAGCAATTTTCCTGCCTCAGCCTCCCAAGTAGCTGGGATTACAGGCGCCCACCACCATGCCCAGCTAATTTTTTGTATTTTTAGTAGAGACGAGGTTTCACCATGTCAGCCAGGCTGGTCTCGAACTCCTGACCTCAGGTGATCCACCCGCCTCAGCCTCCCAAAGTGCTGGGGTTACAGGCGTGAGCCACCATGCTTGGCCTTGTCTTCTCCCTTCTAATATGAAAGAGGAAGCTAGGAATCCCCATTGCTGCTGGCATGCATGCTATAAACCTGAAGGGAGCCACCTAAGATGAAATTGATACTGTGGACTACACAGTAGAAAGATGGAAAGAAACTGGGTCATTGATGACATTGTCAAGATGCTAGATCAACCAACCACAGATCCTGTCCAACAACTGGACTCTTGATTTACATCAGCCACTACTCTGTTATTGAATCTTGGACAAGTTGGTTTGCTTACAAGTTAAATTATTGTATCTGAGAGCATCCTAACTGATACACACATGAAAATAGACATTTCTCCTTTGTTGAGAAGGATGTACAACAAATCTATGAACTTTAAGTTTTAGTACCTTCACTTGCTCATGCCCCTTCCCAACCTTTTACTAAATTTTATGCTTGTAATTTTGTATTCTTTTCCTTAAGGAGGACCACTTAAATTGCATAAGATTCAGGTGTCACCAAACCTGGATCTAGCATCAGATGTTGTTGGAAGAAAATGTCCACCTTTCTCTGCCGTCTCCTCCATTCATGTCTCCCTAGGGAAGGAGAGATGTATGATGTATCTAATCAGTAAATAGTTGAAAAGGTCACAGAACGTGCGTGGCCTGGCCTCTCTTCTGGCGCTTTCATTCAGATCTGCCTCCCCACAGTAGTAGATATGCCTGCCCACACTGGTAATTCTACTGCAGCAAGCCTTGAATGACAACAGTGGACGTGAAAGTAGTTGCTGCCTTTGACCACATCTTCCCAAAGTGGCACGTCACCAACAGACTTTAAAATCATGACGTTATAACGTAATGGCTGTGAAGATTTGGAAGAAAGCACTCTAAAATGAGAGCTCTGAGAGATGTAGAGAGAAGGCAGTCAAGGAATAGCGCCTATAAGCACCTCCTGCACATCCGGTCCCTGCGCCTCCATCCTCACCCTGCCCTCAGCTCACTCCCCTCCTGTTAGAAATTGGCTGTGCCCCTGAAAAGTCATTTGCATTTGCCTAAAGACTGAGTACACAAGCTCATTCCAAAGTAGAAGGTGTTGAAGTTCCATTTTGGCCTCAGGTCAAAATTGTTTTCTCTATTTCAGCTTAATGAGCAAGAAAGCAGAATCTAATATGTGTATATTTCTAACGCCTGTGTATATTTCTCAACTGTTTCCCAGCTCAGAAAGGTGAGGAGTATGACAGTCACCCTGAAATGACAACAGAAGCCAACAATAACAATTATAGTAATAATGTGTGTATAGAAAGTACTAAATGACCATTAAATGAAGAGCAGATTACTAGGTGCTATGGAAGATACACATGCAGTGAAATACAAATTCCAGATCTCAGGGAGTTTGCAACCGAAAAAGAATATAACACTAATATATATACAAGGGGACTTCAAAACGTTCACCTGCACCCTCCACCTCCCAGGTTCAAAGATGGAGTTAAAGGATAAAAAGTATAAACTTTATTTCTTTTTTTTTTTTTTTTTGTGAGATGGAGTCTCCCTCTGTCGCCCAGGCTGGAGTGCAGTGGTGCAATCTCGGCTCACTGCAAGCTCCCCCTCCCAGGTTCACGCCATTCTCCTGCCTCAGCCTCCTGTCATAAGCACCATCAAGGTCAAGACACTTTTGTCAGGGATGATACCAGCCATTTAGTCCATCCTTAAAAAAAAGAGGGTCCTGGGAATTTAACCATGTCAATGCAGTCTTTATTAACTGAAGAAAAATGGGTGCCCTTTACAGATTTTTTAAGATTAGGAAACAAAAAGAAGTCAGAAAGATTTCCTGTGGAAGCTCTTGCAAAATTGCCCTTGTTTGATGAGAGGAATGGGCAGGAGCATTGTCATGGTGAAGAAGGACTCTCTGGTGAATCTCCTGGGCATTTTTCTGATAAGGCTTTGGCTTTCTCAAAATACTCTAATAATAAGGAGATGTTGTCATTTTTTGGCCCTCCAGAAAATCAACAAGCGAAATGCCTTGAGCATCAAAAAGAAATGTTGCCATGATCTTTGCTCTTGACTGCTTTGTTTGTTTGTTTTTGGAGACAGAGTCTTGTTCTCTCACCCAGACTGGAGCGCAGTGGTGCAATCTCGGCTCACTGCACCTGCACCCTCCACCTCCCAGGTTCAAACAATTCTCCTGCCTCAGCCTCCCGAGTAGCTGAGATTACAGACATGCACCACCACTCCTGACTAATTTTGTATATTTATATTTATATTTTTATTTTATTGTTATTTCTTGGAGACAGAGTCTCGCTCTGTCACCCAGGTTGGAGTGCAGTGGTGCCATCTCGGCTCACTGCAACGTCTGCCTCCCAGGCTCAAGTGATTCTCATGCCTCAGCCTCCGGAGCAGCTGGGATTACAGGTGCATGCCGCTACGCCCGGCTAATTTTTGTATTTTTAGTAGAGACAGGCTCTCACCGTGTTGACCAGGAGGGTCTCAAACTCCTGACCTCAAACGATCCACCTGCCTCGGCCTCCCAAAGTGCTGAGATTACAGGTATGAGCCATGGCGCCTGGCTTTATTTTTGTATTTTTAGTAGAGATGAGGCTTCACCATGTTGGCCAGACTGGTCTCAAACTCCTGGCCTGAAGTGACCCACCTGCACTGGCCTCCCAAAGTGCTGGGATTACAGGTGTAAGCCACCGCGCCTGGCCTGGTCTGCTTTTGCTTTGACTGGACCATTTGCAATTCTTGGAAGCCATTGCTTTAATCGTGCCTTGTGTTCAGGATCCTACTGGTAAAGCCATCCTGTTACAGTTCTTCAAATAAATGCTTCAGCATCCTGATCTCACTTGTTTAAAATGTTCATTTAAAAGGTCTACTCTTGACTGCAGCTGATCTGGATGTAATGGTTTTGGCATTCATTGAGGGGAAGGTTTGCTCAACTATAATTTTTCACTTGTAATTGTGTAAGCTGAACAAGTTGAGATGTCTATGCTGTTGGCTGTTATTTGTGCTGTTGTTAGTCCTCTTCAATTAGGGCATGAAGATGATGAATTTTTTTCTCACAACTTGATGTAATGATCTGGCACTGTGGGTTTCATCTTCAATGTTGTCTCATCCTTTTTAAATTGACTTGTTTGTTTGTAAACTGCTGATTTCTTTGGGGCATTGTCCCCATAAACTTTTTGTAAAGCATTAGTGATTTCACTGTTCTTCTACCCAAGCTTTACCATAAACTTGATATTCTTGCTTCAATTTTACAGAATTTGTGTTGCTTATATAGGGGCTTTTTTCTGACTGACGATTTATCCTTCCTATTACCTCCAGCTAGATCCTTTGAGACATACTACAGTAACATAGTATGAGTTTATTTTGGTGCAAACAAATTTTGAAATCATACGTAGTTATTTTATAGCATGCATTTTCCATGGACTTTTTGAAGTCCCCTTATATATATAGACTTATAAAGGCAGCTTTAACTGAAGCATATTTTACACATGTTCTATTTGGTTGAAGATATGAAATTACCATTTTTGTAGATAAAATGTATTTGAATATTAACACTTTCATATAGCCAACCTAATTGTTACCAACACCCGAAACATTCACAATTACTTGACTTGGAAACTTCAACATTCCAGAACATTCACAATTACTTAACTTGGAAACTTCAAATTCCAGAACATTCACAGTTACTTGACTTGGAAACTCCAACATTCCAGAACATTCAGAATTACTTGGCTTGGAAACTTCAACATTCCAGAGCATTCACAATTACTTGACTTAGAAATTTCAACATTCCAGAACATTCACAGTTACTTGACTTGCCATCACACTGTAGTTATCTGTAGACCTCTGGGGTCCCCTGCTTCTCCTCACTCTTTGAAGGTTTTGACACCTGACTCACTGTCACTCTTTTAAACCTGACTCTTGGCAACATTCTTGGTGATTTCAACATCCACAAAGACAATCTTTCCAATATTCTGGTTTCCTGACTTCTGAAAATGTTCTTGGATGCCATTTTACCTCAAATACCCAGTTCCATGGTCATATCTTAGACATTGGAATATTTACATCATTTTGCTTCTGGGGTACCATTCTCTTGATTCTTCCATTACTCACTGGCCACATTTTGAATAGCATCTGTTGGTTTCTCCTCATCAACTGATCTCTATATGTAGGAGTACCCTAGGGCCTGGTCATCAGACGTTGTTTCTTATTTATCTATGCTTACCACTTAATGTGACCTCATTCACTCTCATGACTTTAGTTCCATCTGAATATTGATGACAGCTATGGTTTAAATGTGTCCCTCCAAAATTCAGGTGTTGTCAGTGTGCTGGTAGTAAGAGGTGCCTTCTTTAAAAGGTGATAACCTCATGAGGGTTCCTCCCTAGTGAATGGAATTAAGGCCTTTATCAAAAAGGCCTCGCGGCCGGGCACGGTGGCTCACGCCTGTAATCCCAGCACTTTGGGAGGCCGAGGCAGGCAGATCGCAAGGTCAGGAGTTGGAGACCAGCCTGCCCAATATGGTGAAACCCTGTCTCTAAAATTACAAACATTTTGTCTCTAAAAATACAAAAATTAGCTGGGCATGGTGGCACACACCTGTAGTCCCAGCTACTCGGGAGGCTGGGGCTGGAGAATCGCTTGAACCTGGGAGGCGGGAGTTGTAGTGAGCCAAGATCATGCCACTGCACTCCAGCCTGCTAACAGAGCAAGATTCCATCTCAAAAAAAAAAAAAAAAGAACAAGGCTTCGCAGCCATGATTCTCAGCAAACTAACACAGGAAGAGAAAACCAAACACTGTATGTTCTCACTCATAAGTGGGAGCTGAACAATGAGAAAACATGGACACAGGGAGGGGAACAACACACACTGGGGCCTGTCAGGGTAGGGTGAGGGGAGGGAGAGCATTAGGATGAATAGGTAATGCATGTGAGGCTTAATACCTAGGTGATGGGTTGATAGGTGCCGCAAACCACTATGGCACATGTTTACCTATGTAACCTCATTCTGCATGTGTATCCTGGAACTTAAAGTAAAATTAAAAAAAGAGAAAACATAAATGGCTAATTAACAAATAAAATTGTGTTTCACCTCTAAAAATAAAAATAAAACATAAAAAGTCTTCACCAAACAGTTGGCATCTTTTGCTCTTCTTCCTTCTACCAGAGGAGAACACAGTAAGAAGGCTGCACCAGAGGCTGTGGTCTTGATCTTGGACTTAACCTCCAAAACTGAGAAAATAAATATCTGTTCTTTATAAATCACCCAATCTCAGGTACTGTTATAGCAGCACAAATGGACTAAGACAGTGACTCCCAAATTTATGTCACTAGCTCAGACCTGTCCCCTGAATTTAGATTCTTATATGTAGTTGCTTCTCAGCCTCATCTACTTTGGATACCTAATAGGCATCTTAATATGTCATGTCTAAAAAGGAACTTATGTTTTCTCCGTCCCAATATACACTGTCCCTTTCCCAAATCTTCCCCATCTCAGTAAATGGCAATCCCATCTTTCTAGTTTGCTTAGGCCAAAGAATCTTACAGTCAATTTGATTTTTCTCTTTCTTACCACAAACTCAATGCACCAGCAAATCCTATTAGCTTTACGTTCAAAATATACGATACCCCGAATCTGACCACTTCTCACCACTTTCCACTTCTGCTTTCTTCCAGGTTACTCTCATCTGGATTATTGTAGTCACCTTGTCACTGGTATCTCTGCTTTCTCCTAACCCCCATCTAATCTCCAAAAAATCAGAGCATGTCACTCCTGGCCCCCAAATCCCCCCAGTGACTCCGCCCTCCCCACCCTGCTCAGAATTAAAGTCAATGATCTTTTTTTTTTTTTTTTTTGAGATGGATTCTTGTGCTGTCACCCAGGCTGGAGTGCAGTAAGTAGTGTGATCTCAGCTCACTGCAGCCTCCGCCTCCCAGATTCAAGCGATTCTCCTGCCTTAGCCTCCTGAGTAGTTGGGATTACAGGTGCGCACAATGCCTGGCTAATTTTTATATTGTTAATAGAGTTGGGGTTTCACCATGTTGGCCAAGCTGGTCTTGAACTCCTGACCTCAGGTGATCCACCCACCTTGGCCTCGCAAAGTACTGGGATTACAGGCATGAGCCACCATGCCCAGCCTAAAGTCAATTATCTCACCACAGACCACAAGGCTACTTTGATCCAACCAGCCCATCTTATATACTACCACTTTCCTGTTTTCTCACAGTGCTCCAATCACACTGGCCTTCTTTCTGGACTTCAAACATGCCAAATATACTCTCCTTGAGGGACATAGCACTTACTGCTACCTTTGTTTGGAATGTTCTTTCCCAGATACCCATGTGGCACACCCAAATGCTTGAGTGGCCCCTTATTAGTGAGGCCTTCCTATAGCATTATATATAAGATGGATATAAGGTAGGACTCAGAACATACTCCCTATCCTCCTTACTCTACTTCACCTGACTCCAAACACTGTCACCACCTGACGTAGTACATATTTTATTTTTTATTTGTTTAGCATCTGTCTGCCTCTAACTAGAATGCAAGCTCCATGAGGACAGAGATTTTTGTTTTGTTTACCGCCATATTGTCAGCAGCTAGAGCAATGTCTGGCATGTAGTAGCACTCAATGAATATTAATTGAATAAATGAGCTACCTAAAAAATAACTGCATTGATATCATAACCCAAGTAGTGTCTGAAATAATGTAATGAATTACCAGAATGCAAATGAATTATTTTCCAGATGTCTTTAAGTTGGGTGTTGGAAAGTCAATATGCATTTTTCCTACAAATATAAAGTAAGTGCTGTTATTATCCCCATCTTATGGATAAGACATCTGATATTTAGCTTATGCAACTATGCCTGTTTTCTGATTTTGAGGCATGTACCTCACCACTTATACTAAATTTCCAGGTCAGATCATAAAACCTTACGTAAGCCATAAAATTCAGATATAAAGTAGTCTAAAAAAAGGAAGGACCAGAATGGAAGATACCTATCTTACACACAAACAGCTGTATCTAGAGTATAGGCTTCTTAGCTTTCTAGATGTTTCACCCAGTTATAGCTGTTCTTTGATAGTGATACAGTGATAGAGGCAGGAGGCAGAGAAATTCTAGGCAGATGGGAAGATCCCTGGCAAAGCACCACCCTAAAGCTGAAAAGCTTGAAACCACTGCCTAAAGTGAGAACTTATATTCCCGTTTTCCTGCTTGAATGTTGTCTTTTCCTAAACTACCCATAGCCTGCCCCACCCTATCTTGTGCCTATAAAGACCCCAGACTCAGCCAGCAGAGGGGAGAAACAGCTGGACATCAGAGAGAAGCAGCCGGACTTCAGAGGGACAGCTTGATGACATAACTTTGGAGAAGAATGCAGCCAGAGATGGGTGGACTCCAGGGAAAGATTACCTGCCGCCCCACCCTCTTTTCAGCTCCCCTTCCTGCTGAGAGCCACTTTCATCGGCAATAAAATACACTGCATTTGCTATCCTTCGATTTGTTTGTATGACCTTATTTCTCCTGGACGCCGGTCAAGAGCTCAGGAACCATCAGTGCGATACAAAAGGCTGTCACACTGGCCCTTTGCCCTCACCGGAGGAGGGCAGCCACCTCATGCAAAAGAGCAGAAGGCTCACTGAGCTTTTAACACTCAAGCTGTCCACGGGTGGAAGAGCTGAAAGAGCACTGTAACACACCCTCTGGGACTTCAGGAGTTGCAGGCACCCTGCAGGGATGTTGCTGTGGGGTCTGTATGGAGTTTGCTCCTGCTGGTGCCCCAGAGTGCTTGCTCTAGCTCCTGTACCTACTCACCTGTGTGTTCCCTCCTGTGGGGTGGAACACAGTGGGTCCAAGTGAGTGGAGTTTGATCCCGCTGGTGCCAAAGTAGCTGGCTGGTTCCAGTGCTTGTGCACTCCAGTTCCTGCCTTGTTTGCTGGTGCGCTGCCTCCCATGAGGAGTTGAGAATGGCAGGCAGAGTAAATGAGGCGCCCCTGTCGTGAGTCCTGCAAAGGGGTCAGGGAAATATTCTCCTCTGGTAGGTTTTTCTGTTTTCATCAACTTATCTGCTTTCTTCCTCTCCTCTCCTCTGCAGCTTAGGTTCCATGGGCCACCATTTTAACCACTTACTTGCCAATATATTAAACTTTCTCCCTTTTTGTTCTTTCATTGCCCATTCTGTAAAACCCCAACCCTGGATGAATACAACTATCTATATCCTCTATATACGTACACCTGGACTATTGACTTCTACTCAGCAGACTTGATGTCATTATAAATTTATGGCAGACAATCTACTGGGCCCTCAATACTATGCAGCAAATCTGTGATTCTCAGGCATGTTATCTCTCTTAACTCTTTGAAATCTTCTCAAAACTTTGTCTATTATTTCTTCTGTTGCTCTTAGATTACCATGTCTTCTTCTTCATGGAGAAAATGTTAATTTCAGAAGGGAATTGCCTCAATTTTCTGCCATCAAGTCTGCATATGGTCTACATCTATCTCTATACTTTTCTACTTCTCTTCTGCTACAATGGAGAGGTTGCCCCTTCTGTTTTAGCCCAATCTCTTCTTCCTTTTATGGAACACCATGCCATAAATTAAGACTTCTCTCTCTTGCATCTTCAGCCTCTTCTTTTCTATTGGCTTCTTGATATTAACATTTACATATACTCAAGTCTCTCCTATGTTAAGAAAAAGTCTTCCTTGGATCCTGTTACTAACCTCACTCTCCCTCATTCATAGCCAAAGTTCTCAAAAGAAAACTACACTGGAAATTCCCAAATACTGATCCATGGACTATAAGACCACTGGGAGATATTTTTAGGTGTCTGTGGCAAAATAAGAAACAAATAAGCTAATGTAGTCCATGTTTACTCATATAGCAAGTTACAGATATGAGTCAGATTAAGGTTACTGTTTTCTCCCGAAGAGTGTTCATTATTCTTTTATATCCTTCTTATTTTTCTGAAATTGAATGCTTTTTAATAAAATAATGGCACTAGTAGGTAGAATTAAAAAAATTCTGCTTGGCAAAATAAAAACTTACCCTGTCTATATAATACAAAAATATTTTGCATTTATTACTGTTGCTTTAAGTTTAAAAGTGTTGAATTGACTTTATTATATTTATTTCCTCACCTCTAACTCACCCACCAATACTTCTCCATCTGGATATTGCACCAACAACCTCTGCCAAAAATGCTCTTGCTGAGGTACCCAGTGAGCTCTGTAAGGCAAAAGATAATTTTCATTTTGTTAGATCCTTCAGTACATTGGATAAAATTGACAACTTCCTCTTCCTTAAAAAGCCTCCCTTTTATGGCTTCCATTATGCCCCAGCTACTGGTTTTCTGCAACCTTCCTTGACTTCATTTCCACAGTCTTTCATCACCTCCTCCTCTACTACATCACACTAGTGTTGGAAATCCTTGGTCTCTGTCCTATCTAACTTGTATTAGTCTACATTGTCTCCCAGAGTGATTTCATTCCCTCCCAAGGCTTCTGTGTCCAGATTCTGTGTCTGATTTATGTGGCATTTGATAGGTGACTTGAGACAAGTCAGAAACTGAGTTCATCAGTTTTCCCTCCTTTCAAATCTGCTCATCCTCCATCTCAGTAGATAACATTACCATCTACTTTCATGCTCAAGCCTGAAATTTAGAAGTTGCCTTGACTTCCTTCTTTCCTTTATCACCTACATTTAATTCTAATCATTAAGACAGTTAATTGTTTTAAACAACTCTCAAATCTCTCATCTTCTTTCCACCCTCCCTGCCGGCATCCTAGTCTAGCCTACCATCATTTCTTTCCTCTACCACTGCAGTAAATTCCTACGTGGACTCTCTCACTGTTCAAAACGTCCTCTAAACTGCAACCAGAATGATCTTCTAGAAATGCAAATCTGATAATATCACTTCCCTGCTTAATGCCTTTTAATGATATCCCCTTACTCTTATGGGCTTCTCAACCTGGCTCCAAAGGCTCTGCTCAGAAGCCAGATTAGGTCTGACTTCCTCTCTGGCTTTTGTTTTTTTTAATCACTCTTCATCATTCATTCCCTTCCAGCCAAAAAGCAGTTCCTCCAAGACACCCTGCTGTCTCCTATCTCAATGTTCCTGCTCACAGGATTCCAATGCATGGAATATTTTCTCCTATGTGAGTCTTCACACTTATAACTCCTACTCATCCCTCAGAGTTGAGCTTAACTCCTGTCCTCCTTAGGGAAGCCTTCCCTGGCCTACATCTCTTCAAACCAAGTTTTTCACCCTATTAATCAATTCTCAAATATCCTGTAATTTTCCTTTTCAGTACTTCGCACACTTATAATTATTTGATTGATCATTTATGAATTGTTTAATATCTGACTTCCTTAATAACCTGTAAACTCTATCAAGACAGAGATCATGTCTATGTCATTTATCACCACATTCGCAATATCTAGCACAATGCCTGACATCGCTTAGGTGCATAATAAACATGTTGATGATTGATTTATTGACTATTTTTAGAACTGAGAAACTAACCTGTCTAAATAACAGTGCTTTGTGGAAACATGCATTCACGTTCTAACAAGACTTTTCTTTTCTTTACTCAACCACACTTCTTTCATTTTTTTCTTTCTCTCTCTTGCTCTCTTTATATACATAGAAATGGTACTCTCACTCTCCGGCCTATATTTAAAAAGTCTCTAATGTGATGGGCGTTGGAAAAAGTGTGGGTTCTGGAATAAGGGTTAGGTCAAAGACCTAAGGGTGAGATACCTTGGGGATTAGGTTTTTATCTCAGACTATGTCTGAGTTAGGTTTTCTCTCTATTCTCCAGGCTCTAAAGTTTCTGGATTTTTGTTTTTGCTCTAGTAAAGATACAGGAAGCACAGCTAAGCCAACCACAACCCTTTACTGTCTTTTACCAGAATCATGTAGGAAAGATAAAATCTACTCTTGGATACCAACATTGAGTCCATAACTTAAATGCAAAAGTCCAAAAAAGTGGAATCTACAACTTGTGGAATATTCAGATAATCAACCAAAGTGATGACTCCCACTTACTACCACAAACAATGGATGAGAGTTCCCATTGTTTCCTATTCTTGCCAACTCTGGTTTTAACTGACTTTTAAATTTTTACCAGTTTGGTGACTGCAAATGCTGTCTCATTGAAGCTTTATTTTGCAGTTCCCTAGTTATTAAAGTATTGGGTATTGAAGTTGGCTCTTGACACTAGTAACTTGAAAAGTCTATGATATTTACTACACAGAAATAAGCAAATACTACAAGCCAGGGCTTTCCTCACATTGGAGGACTGGTTGTTAAATATTACCAGTCCACAGCTGTTGATAAGGCTGAATATTTACTTATATCTTTATGGGCTTTCATGTTTTGTCTTGTTAAAACACCTGTTTCTATTGGCCTATTTATTTAAATTAAGCTCTTTTTTTCTTTGTAACTCATGCAGAGTTGCTCTTCATGTATCATAAATACTAACCCTTTACTAGTTAAATGTATTGCCAATATCTTCTCCCAGAATGCAGCTTGTATTTTCAATGCCTCCTCATGTCATTTAAAAAATAATCCTTAAAAAGTTATTTTGGACATGTGAAAATCTTTACATTATTAATGTATATAACTTGGTGAGTTCAGAGATTAGCATATATCCATGGCACAATCACTATAATCTATGCCATAAGCCTATCTGTCACCTCCAAAAGTTTCCTCCTGACCTCTTATTTAGTAGTATTATTTTTGTGATGACTTCATATAAGATCTACCGTTTTAGCAAAATTTTAAGCATACAATATAGTATTGTTTCTATGGGCACTATGCTGTACAGGAGATCTCTAGGACTTATTTATCTTGTATGGACAACATTTTGTACCTGTATTAGTCCATTTTCATGCTGCTAATAAAGAAATACCTTTATTGTCTCCAAATAAAGGAAAGAGGTTTATTTGACTCACAGTTCCACATGCCTGGGGAGGCCTCAGAATCACGGCAGAAGGCAAAGAGGAGCAAGTCATATCCTACATGGTGGCAAGCAAGAGAGTGTGTGCAGGGGAACTCCTCTTTATAAAACCATCAGATCTCGTGAGACTTATTCACTATCACGAGAATAGCATGGAAAAGACCTGTCCCTATGATTCAGTTACCTCCCACTGGGGCCCTCATATGACATGTGGGAATTATGGGAGCTATAATTCAAGATGAGATTTGTGTGCGGACACAGCCAAACCGTATCAGTACCCTTTGACTAACACCTTTCCATTTCCCCTTCTCCCAGCCTTTGGCAACCACCATTCTACTCACCTTCTATAAATCGGATTGTTTTAGATTCATCATATAAATGTGATATGGTTTGGATGTCCTGCCCAAATCTCATGTTGAATTGTAATCCCCAGTGCTGGAGGTGGGACCTGTGGGAAGTGTTTAGATCATGGGGCCAGATCCCTCACGGCATGGTGCTTTTTGTGATAGTGAGTTCTCATGATATCTGGTCATGTAAAACTGTGTTGCACACCCTCCCCCCTTTCTTTCCCTCTCGCTATTGCTTTCACTATATGAGATCCCTACTCCCCCTTTGCCTTCTGCCATTATTGTAAGCCTCATAAGGCCTCCCCAGAAGCTGCTGCAGGTGCTATGCTTCCTCTACAGCCTGCAGAACCATGAGCCAACTAAACCTCTTTTCTTATAAATTACCTAGTCTCAGGCATTTCCTTATAGCAACGCAAAAATGGCCTAATACATAAAATTGGTATCAAGGAGTGAGGCATTGATATAAAGATACCATACCTGAAATTCTGGAAGCGACTTTGGAATTGGGTAATAAGCAGAGGTTGGAAGAGTTCGGAGGGTTCAGAAAAAGACAGGAAGATGAGGGAAAGTTTACAACTTCTTATAGACTGGTTAAATGGTTGTGACCAAAATGCTCGATAGTGATAAGGACAGTAAAGTCCATGCTGATGAGGTCTCAGATGGAAATAAGGAATTTATTGGGAACTGGAGCAAAGGTCATGCATGTTGTGCCTTAGCAAAGAACTTGGCTGTATTCTGTTCATGCCCTAGGGATCTGTGGAATTTTGAACTAAAGGATGATGATTTAGGATATCTGGGGGAAGAAATTTCTAAGCAACAAAGTATTCAAAATGTGGTCTGGCTGCTTCTTACAGCCTATGCTCAGATGCAGGAGCATAGAAATGATTTAAAGTTGGAATTTAAATTTTAAAAGGGAAGCACAGTGTAGAAGTTTGGAAAATTTGCAGCCTGGACATGTGGCACAGAAAGAAAAAGCTTTTTCTCAGGAGAGAAATTCAAGCAGGCTGTGAAGTAACCGCTTGCTAGAGAAATTTACCAAGAGAAAGGGAGCCAAGTGCTAATAGCCAAGATAATGCAGAAAAGGCCTTGAAGGCATTTCAGAGACTTTCATGGCAGTCCCTCCCATCACAGGCCTAGAAACCAAGGAGCAAAGAATGGTTTCATAGGCCAGGCCCAGGGTCCCACTTCCCTGCTCAGTCTGAAGACACTGTTCCCCACATTCCCACTGTTCTGGCTCCAGCCTTGGTTCAAAGGAGCCCAAATATAGCTCAGGCCATAGCTCCAGGGGGTGCAAGCTCTAAGCCTTGGCAGCTTCCACATAGTATTAAACTTGTAGGTGCACAGAATGCAATAATAAAAGAGATATGGCAGCCTCTGCCTAGATTTCAAAGGATGTATGGAAAAGCCTGGGCGCCCAGGCAGAAGTCTGCTGCAGGGGCAGAGCCCTCACAGAGAGCTTTCTACTAGGGCAGTGCCAAGGGGAAACATGAGGCTGAAGCCTCCACAGAGTGTCCAGTGGGGCACTACCTAGTGGAGCTCTTAGAAAGGGGTTACTGTCCTCTAGACCCCAGAGCGGTAGAGCCACTGGAAGCTTATACCCTGCACCTGGAAAATCCACAGGTACTCAACAAACCATGAGAGCAGCTGTGGAGGCTGAACCCTGCAAACCACAGGGGCAGAGCTTCCCAAGGCCTTAGGAGTCCACCCCTTTCATCGGTGTGCCCTAGATGTGGGATATGGAGTCAAAATAGATTATTGTGGAGCTTTAAGATTTATTGACTCTCCTGCTGGGTATAGAACTTGCATGGGGCCTGTACTCCCTTTCTTTTGACTAGTTTCTCCTTTTTGGAATGGAAATGTTGACCCAGTGCCGATATTTCCATTGTATCTTGGAAGTAAATAACTTGTCTTTGATTTTACAGTCTCATAGGTAAAATGGACTTGCTTTGTCTCAGATGAGACTTTGGACTTTTGAGTTAATGCTGAAATGAGTTAAGACTTTGGGGGACTATTGGGATGGCATGATTCTATTTTGCAATGAATGTGAGAAGGACATTTGGGAGGGGCCAGGGAAGAAATAATATAGTTTGGATGCCCTGCCCACATCTCATGTTGAATTGTAATCTCCATTGCTGGAGGTGGGACCTGGTGGGAGGTGCTTAGATCACAGGTTGGATCCCTCATGGCTTGGTGCTGTCTTCATGACACTGTGTTCTTGTGAGATATGGTCATTTAACAGTGTGTGGTACTTCCCCCAACTTTCTCTCCTTTTTGCTCCTGCTTTCACCATATGAGATGCCTGCTCTCCCTTTCCTTCTGCCATGACTGTAAGCTTCCTGAGGCCTCCCTAGAAGCCAAGCAGATGCCCGCACCATGCTTCCTGTATAGCCCATAGAACTGTGAGTCAATTAAACTTCTTTTCTTATGAATTACCCAGTCTCGGGCATTTCTTTATAGCCATGCAAAAACAGCCTAATACAAATGACATTATGTAGCATTTGTCCCCCTGCATCTGGCTTATTTCACTTAGCATGTCTTCAAGGTTCATCCATAGTGTAGAAAATATGCAGGATTGCATCATTTTTTAAGGCTGAATAATATTCCATTATGTTAAATCCATTCATTTGTCATTCATTTGAACATTTAGGTCATTGTCATATCTTGGCTATTGTGAAAAATGCTGCAATGAACATGGGAGTGAAGATATCTCTTTGAGATTTTGATATCAATTCCTTTAGTTATATGACCAGAAATGGGATTGCTGGATCATATGTAGTTCCATTTTTTGTTTTTTTTTTAAAGAACTTCCTCACTATTTTTCACAGTGGCTGAATCAATAATATATTTACACCAATAGTGTGCTAGGATTCCCTTTTCTCCACAACCTCATCACTTATTATCTTTTAAAAATTTTTTTATGTATTTTTTGAGACAGGATCTTGCTCTGTCATCCAGGCTGGAGTGCAGTGGTGTGATCATGGCTCACTGTAGCCTTGACTTCCTGGGCTCAATTGATCCTCCTACTTCAGCCTCCCAAGTAGCTGGGACTACAGGTGCATGCCAACACACCTACCTGATTTTTGTATTTTTTTGTAGAGCTCGGGTTTTGCCATGTTGCCCAGGCTGGTCTCAAACTCCTGGGCTAAGTGGTCCACCTGCCTCAGCTTCCCAAAGTGCTGGGATTATAGGCATGAGCCACTGTACCCAGCCATCTTTTTATTTTTTATTGATTAAAGTCATCCTAATAGGTTCAAGGTGATATCTCATTGTGATTTTATTTTATTATATTATTTTTAATTTTTTTTTGAGATGCAGTCTTGCCGTGTCACCCAGGCTGGGGTGCAGTGGCACAATCTCAGCTCACTGCAACCTCTGCCTCTTGGGTTCAAGCGATTCTCGTGCCTCAGCCTCCTGAGTAGCTGGGATTACAGGCACCCACCACCACGCCTGGCTAATTTTTTTTGTATTTTTAGCAGAGATGGGTTTTCACCATTTTTGCCAGGCTGGTCTCCAACTCCTGAACCCAGGTGATCCACCTGCCTCGACCTCCCAAAATGCTAAGATTACAGGCATGAGCCACCGCACCTGGCTCATTATGATATTAATTTGTATTTCTTGATTAGTGATGTTAGGCACCTTTTCACACACCTGTTGGCCATTTGTATGACTTCTTTAAATGTCTAGTCAGTACCTTTGGCCATTTTTAATCTGATTATTATTATTATTTTTTGCAATTGGGTTGCAGAAGTTTCTTACATATTTTAGATATTAACCCTTTATCCAAGATAAGGTTTGTGAAAAAGTTCTCCCATTGTGTACATTGTCTTTTTGTTTTGTTGGTTCCTTTGCTGTGCAGAAGCTTTTTTAATTTTGATCTCCCAGCTTCTTTAAAGGAACTTGTGCTTTTTTTCTCTCAGTGAATGGAATTGTTTTTCAGAGAGAAAAAACTGTAATCAGGTGTTTGGAACATACTTTCGAAGGATGTTTCTTACCTTTGTTTTTAAGACCTAATTTTGATGGGTTTCCATATATACATTTAAAAGCTAAATCTAAAAATGCTTCTTTGGAGATGCATTATGTACTATTTTCTTTCAATGAATAGAACTATCTCCCAAGGAGAACTCTCTAAGCAAGTGTTTAAAACATGCTTTTGAGGGATGTTTCTTACCATTGTTTTGTAGGTCTCAATCTTAACTTCCAGTTTAATGGAATCTTTGTTGTGTCTGCTGGTGGCAGCATTCCTTCCTCTGGAACTAAGACCTCTAGGCCAGCAGAACCTAATGTGGGAGCAAGATGCAAAAATTTTGCTAGTGGATCACCAGGGGTGATGGTGAGTGGTGCCACTTCCATTTCCACCCCTCGATTCCTGTACCTGTGAATCCTGGCTATGGGAGAAACAGTATCATATATTGGATGCTGATTCAGAGCTCACATGACCTTCTGGAGAACTTTGCCCCAGCCCTACAAAATATTGTCACCTAGTGGGCATTGTAATTGTGACTTCAAAAGGCCATTTCACTGTTCTATTAACCCAGCTGCTTCAGGATGATGGGGAACATAGTAAGACCAGTGAATTTTATGAGCATGAGCCCCTGCTACACTTCTTTAGCCATAAAATCAGTGCCTTGGTCAGAGGCAATGCTGTGTGTAATACCATGACAGTGGACAAGGCATTCCATGAGTCCACAGATGTCAATCTTGACAGAAGCACTGCGTGCAGGATAAGGAAACCCATATCCAAAGTAAGCTTCTATTCCAGTGAGGACAAACCTCTGCCCTTTCCATGGTGGAAGAGGTTCAGTATAATCAATGTGCCACCAGGTAGCTGGCTGATTACCTTGAGGAATGGTGCCATATCGAGGGCTCAGTGTTAGTCTCTGCTGCTGGCAAACTGGGCACTCAGCAATGGCTGTAGCCAGGTCAGCCTTGGTGAGTGGAAGTCCATGTTGCTGAGCCCATGCATAACCTCCATCCCTGCCACTGTGGCCACTTTGTTCATGGGCCCATTGGATGATGACAGGGGTGGCTGGGAAAAGAGGTTGAGCGGTGTCCACAGAACAGGTCATTGTATCCACTTGATTACAATCTTTCTCTGCTGAGGTCACCCATTAGTGAGCACTCACATGGGATGCAAATATCTTCACAGTTTTTGGCAACTCAGAGAGGTACATCCACATACCTTTTCCCCACATTTCTTTGTCACCAATTTTCCAATCATGTTTCTTCCAAGTCCCTGAACACCCAGCCAAGCCATTGGCTACAGCCCATGAGTCAGTATATAATCATACACTTGGCCATTGCTCCTTCCACGCAAAGTGCACAACCAGGTGCACGGCTCAAAGTTCTGCCCACTGGGAAGATTTCCCTTCACTGCTGTCCTTCAGGGATATCCTAGAAAGTGACTGCAGTGCTGCAACTGTCCACTCTCGGGTGGTGCCTGCATATCGTGCAGAACCATTTGTGAACCAGGCCCTAGTCTTCTCTTCCTCTGTCAACTGATCACAGGGAACTCCCCATGAGGCCATCGGTGCAGGCTGGGGGAGAGGGGGCAGGGTGGCAGGAGGGGAGACCATGGGCACCACTTGATGAGGAGTGGAGTCACTTCCTCGTGTAACTTACTTGTGCCTTCGGGACCTTCTCGAGCCCGATCACATATATACCACTTCCATTTGATGATGGAATGCTGCTGTGCATGACCCACTTTATGGCTAGATGGGTCAGAAAGCACACAGTTCATGATAGGCAATTCAGGTCGCACGGTGACTTGATGACCCATAGTCAAATGTTCAGTTTCCACCAAGTAACATGCCAAGAGCTGTCTCTCAAAAGGAGATAGTTATCTGCAGAAGATGGCAGGGCCCTGCTCCAAAATCCAAGAGGCCTCTGCTGTGATTCACCTATGTGGGCCTGCCAAAGGCTCCAAACAGCATTCCTATCTGCCCCTTACACCTCAAGCACCATTGGATCTGCTGGGTTATATGACCCAAGTGGCAGAGCAGCTTGCACAATAGCCTGGACCTGTTGCAGAGCCTTCTTCTGATCTGCCCCACTCAAAACTGGCAGCCTTTCAGGTCACTCAATAAATGGGCCAGAGTCACACACCCAAATGAGGACAGTGTTGCCTCTAACCCACTAAGCATTGTGCCTCTTTCTTGGTTGTAAGAAGGGCCAAATGCAGCAACTTATCCTTCACCTCAGAAGGAATATCTTGACAGGTCCCATACAACTGGACCCCCAGAAATTTTACTGAGGTAGAAGATCCCTGAATTTTAGCTGGATTTATTTCCCATCCTCTAGCACACAAATGTCTCACCAATAAGTCCAGTGTGTTTGCTACTTCTTGCTCACTGGATGCAATCAGCATAATGTCATCAATGTAATGGACCAGTGTGATATCTTGTGGAAGCAAAACGTGATCAAGTTCTCTTCAAATAAGATTACGACACAAAGCCGGAAAGTTGATATACCCCTGAGGTAAGACAGCCAAGGTATATTGCTGGCCTTGCCAGCTGAAGGCAAATTGCTTCTGGTGGGCCTTATGGACAGGAATGGAGAAAAAGGCATTTGCCAAGTCAATGGCTGCGTACAAGGTACAAGGATATGCATTAATTCGCTCAAGCAATGAAACCGCATCTGGTACAGCAGCTGCAATTGGAGTAACCCCTTGATTAAGCTTACAATAATCTACTGCCATTTTCCAAGATCCATCTGTCTTCTGCACAGGCCAAATAGGAGAGTTGAACGGAGATGTGGTGGGAACCACCACCCCCGCATCTTTTAAATCCTTGATGGTGGCACTAATCTCCACAATCCCTTCAGGGATGTGATATTGTTTTGGTACCAGTAGAGTGGGGCACTGCTGAAAAGATCCCCAAAAATGTGGCAGTGACTTTGGAACTGGGTAACAGGCAGAAGTTGGAACAGTTTGGAGGGCTCAGAAGAAGCCAAGAAAATGTGGGAAAGTTTGGAACTCCCTGGAGACTTGCTGAATGGCTTTGACCAAAATGCTGATAATGATATGGACAATGAAATCCAGGCCGAGGTGTTCTCAGATGGAGATGAAGAACTTGTTGGGAACTGGAGCAAAGGTGACTCTTGTTATGTTTTAGCAAAGAGACTGATGGCATTTTGCCCCTGCCCTAGAGACTTGTGAAACTTTAAACTTGAGAGAGATGATTTAGGGTATCTGGCAGAAGAAATTTCCAGGCAACAAAGCATTCAAGCGGTGACTTGGGTGCTGTTAAAGGTATTCAGTTTCAAAAGGGAAACAGAGCATAAAAGTTTGGAAAATTTGCAGCCTGACAATGCAATAGAAAAGAAAATCTCATTGGTATTAGTTATTCTTTAACTGTTTGGTAGAATTGAGCAGTGTAGCCATCAGGTCCTGGGCTTTCACTGGATCAGAGATTTTCTATTATGGCTTTAATCTTGTTACTCATTATTGAAATCCTAATATTTTCTATTTCTTCATGGTTCAATATTGGTATATGTTGGTTGAATGTGTCCAGGAAGTTTTCCATTTTTTTCTAGGTTTCCCAATTTATTGGTGTGTAGTTGTTGATAATATTCTCTAATGCTTCTTTGTATTCCTAGGTATTAGTTGTTAAGTCTCCTTTTCTGTTTCTGACTTTGTCTATTTTCTTTCTTCCCTCTATTGGTCTAGCTAAAGGTTTGTCAATTTTGTTTGTCATTTCAAAAAACCAACTTTATGTTTCATCGATCTTTGGTATTTTTGTAGCCTCACTTTCATTTATTTCTGCTCTAATTTTTATTAAATATTTTCTTCTGATAAATTTGGGTTGGGTTTGTTCTTGAATTTCTAGTTCCGGGAAGTGCATAATTAGGTTGTTTATTGAAGTCTTTCCTTTTTTTTTTTTTTGAGACGGAGTCTTGCTCTGTCACCCAGGCTGGAGTTCAGTGGCACGATGGTGGCTCACTGCAATCTCCACCTCCAGGGTTCAAGCGTTTCTCCTGCCTCAGCCTCCCTAGTAGCTGGGATTACAGGCGTCTGCAACCACGTCCAGTTAATTTTTTTATTTTTAGTAGAGACAGAGTTTCTCCATGTTGGCCAGGCTGGTCTCAAACTCTTGACCTCAAATGATGCACCCACCTTGGCCACCCAAAGTGCTGGGATTACGGGCATGAACCACCACGCTCGACCTTTCTTCTTTTTTGATGTGGGTGTTTATTGTTATAAACTTCCCTCTTGGCACTATTTTTGCTGTATTCCACAGATTATGGTATTTTGCATTCTTGTATCTTGCATTATTAGTAATTTTGTATTTGTAATAATTTCTAATTTCTTCATTGACCCATTTATTATTTAGGAGCATATTATTTAATTTCTATGTGCTTGTGTAGTTTCCAAGATTCCTCCTGTTATTGATCTCTAGTTTTATTCCATTGTGGTCAGAAAAGATAATTTATATGATTTTGACTTCTGGATTTGCTGAGACTTGTTTTGTGGCCTCACAATGGTCTATTCTAGAGAATGTTTCATGTGCTGATGAGAAGAATGTGTATTCTGAAGTGTTTGGGTGAAATATTCTATAAATGTCAGGCCTATTTGGTCTCATGTGGAATTTAATGCTGATTATTTCTTTGTTAATTTTCTATCTGGAAGATCTGTCCATTACTGAGAGTAGGGTATTGAAATTCGCTACTATTATTATTGTTTTACACTCTCCCTCTCCTTTTAGATCTATTAATGTTTTCTTTATATACTGGGGTGCACCTGTGTTGGGTGCATATTTATAATTGCTCTAACCTTTTGATGAATCAACGCCTTTATTATTACATAGTTACCCTTCTTTGCCTATTCTTATAGTGTTCGACTTGTAGTCTATCTTATCTGATGAAAGGATAGCTACTCCTACTCTTTCTTGGTTTGGATTTACATAGAATATCTTTTCCTATTCTCTCCCTTTCAGTCTATGTGTCTTTATAGGTGAGGAGGATTTTTTTTTTAAGACAGCATATACTTGGGTTTCTTTCTGTATCCATTCAGTAACTCTTTATCTTTTAATTGGAGAATTTAGTCTATTTACATTCAGTGTTATTACTGACAGGTAAGAACTTATTACTGCCATTTTGTTACCTCTTTTCTCGTTGTTTTGTAACTCTTCTCTTCCTTTCTTACCACTTAACCTTTGTTTCTCTAGTAGTATGGTTTAATTTGTAATTTTTTATTTTTAGTGTATTTCTTGAAGGTTTTTGATTTGTGGTTACCATGAGGCTTACAAAATCATTTACGATATAACATATTATTTTGAACAGCTGCTTGTTGATCACAGAGAAAAGAATAAAAACAATCAAACAGAGAAAAAACTTCCAAACTCTAGTCTTTAACTCCATCCCCCAACATTTTCACTTTCTGTCATCTCAATTTACATGTTTATACTGCCTGTCTCTTAACAGGTTACTGTAGCTATTGTAATTTTTGATAGATTTGTCTTTTAGTCTTCATTCTAGAGTTATAAGTGGATTGCATACCACAATTACAGTGTTATAGTATTCTGAGTTTGTCTGTGTACTTACTATTTTTCTTTCTTCTTAAAATATTTAAAATTTTTTAAAGTTTTAAAATATTGACATAATAATTGTTCATTATGGGGTACAAAGTGATGTTGTAATACATGTAATGTATAATGATCAGATTAAGGTAATTAGCATATTCATCATCTCACATACTTATCACTTCTTTGTGTTTGGAAATTCAATATCCTCTTTCTAGCTATTTGAAACTGTGTATTATTGTTAACTAACTATAGTCACCCTACAATGCCATAGAACACAATAACTATTCCTCTTATCTAGCTGTAATTTGTGTCCTTTAATAGATCTCTCCATGTCACCCCCTTCCCTCTAACCTTTTCTGCCTCTAGTATCCTCTGTTCTATGAGATCATCTTTTTTTTTTCAGTTTCTACATATGAGTAAGAATATGTGGTGTTTAACTTTCTGTTCCTAATTTATCCCACTTCATATAATATCCTCCAGTTTCATCCATGTTGCCATGAATGTCAGAATTTTATTCTTTTTTATGGCTGAATGGTATTCCATTATGTATATATGACACATTTTCTTTATCCATTCATCTGCTGGACACCTAGGTTGATTCCATATCTTGCCTATTGTGAATTTAGTGCTGCGAAACACATGGGGGTGCAGATATGTTTTTGATATACTGATTTCCTTCTTCTTGGATAAATGCCCAGTAGAGAACTGGATCATATGGAATTCTTTTTTTTTTTTTTTTTGAGACAATGTCTCGCTCTGTCACCCAGGCTGGAGTGCAGTGGCACGATCTCGGCTCACTGCAACTTCTGCCTCCCAGGTTCAAGTGATTCTCCTGCCTCAGCCTCCCGAGTAGATGGGATTACAGGCGCTCACCACCACGTCTGGCTAATTTTTTATATTTTTAATAGAGACGGAGTTTCTCCATGTTGGCCAGGCTGGTCTCGAACCCTTGACCTCAAGTGATCCACCCGCCTCAGCCTCCCAAAGTGCTGGGATTACAGGAGTGAGCCACTGTGCCTGGCCCCTATTTGTAGCTTTTAAAGGAACCTCTATACTGTTTTTCATAGTGGTTGTGCTAATTCACATTCCTACCAACAATGTATAAGAATTCACTTTTCTCTACACCCTTGCTAGCATTTATTTTTTGTATTTTTGATAATAGCCATACTAACCAGGGTGAGATCATATCTGATTGTGGTTTTGATTTGCATTTCCCTGATGATTAGTGACGTTGCTGAGCATTTAAAAAATATATTTCTTGGCCATATATAGGTCCTATTTTGAGAAATGTCTATATAGATCATTTGCTGATTTTTAAACCAGATTATTTATTTGCTGTTTAAATGCTTGAGTTCCTTGTATATTCTGGATATTAGTCTCCTGTCAGATGAGTACTTTGCAAATATTTTCTCCCATCCTGTGTGTTGTCTTTTCATTTTGTCAACTATTTCCTTTGCTGTGTAGAGAGGCTTTTTAGTTTGCTATAATCCATTTGTTTATTTTTGCTTTTTTGCCTGTGCATTTTTTTTTTTTTTAAAGATGGAGTTTCGCTCTTGTTGCCCAGGCTGGAGTGCAATGTCGCCATCTCGGCTCACTGCAACCTCTGTCTCCCGGGTTCTCCTGCCTCAACCTCCCGAGTAGCTGGGACTACAGGCATGCGCCACCATGCCTGGCTAATTTTGTATTTTTAGTAGAGACAGGGTTTCTCCATGTTGGTCAGGCTGGTCTTGAACTCCCGACCTCTGGTGATCCGCCTGCCTCGGCCTCCCAAAGTGTTGGGATTACAGGCATGAGCCACCACGCCCAGGCTTGCCTGTGCTTTTGAGGTCTTATAAAATCTTTTTTCCAGACCAATGTCCTGAAGCATCTCTCCTGTGTTTTCTTCTGATAGTTTTATCATTTTGAGTCTTACATTTGTACATAGGTATGTATATACATCAATCAGACAAGAGAAAGAAATAAAAGGCATCCAAATCAGTAAAGAGGAAGTCAAACTATCACTGTTTGACTGTATATCTAGAAAACCCTAAATATATATACATACAATAGAATATTATTATGTCTTCTTTGGTCCTTTGTTGAAAATCACTTGGCCGTAAATGCATGGATATATTTCTGAGCTCTCTAATCTGTTGCATTGGTGCATTTGTCTGTTTTTAAACAGGGACCATGATTTTTGGTTACTGTGATTTTGTAGCATATTATTCTGAAGTCAGGCAGAAGAATGATGGTGGTATTTTGGTGGGAATTGCATTGAATTGATAGATTGCTTTTGGCAGTATGGTCATTTTCACAATATTGATTCCACCCATCTACGAGCATTGGATGTGTTTCCATTTGTTTGTGTCATCTGATTTCCTGAAGCAGTGTTTTGTAGTTTTCCTTGTAGAGGTCTTTCGCCTTCTTGGTTAAGTATATTCCTAAGTATTTTTTTATTTGTAAAAGTGGCTGAGTTCTCAATTTGATTCTCAGCTTGGTCACTGCTAGTATATAGCAGAGCTGCTGATTTGTGTACATTAATTTTGTATCCTGAAACTTCACTGAATTCATTTACCATTTCTAGGAGCTTTCTGAATGAGTCTTCAGGGTTTACCCGTTAACCATTCCTACCTCCCTCCTGCCCCTCGCTACCTTTCCCAGCCTCTGGTAACCATCCTTCTATTCTCTATCTCCGTAAGTTAAATTATTTTGATTTTTAGGTTCTACAAATTGGTAAGAACATGCAATGTTTGTCTTTCTATTTAACAGAATTTGAAAAACGTATGCAAATCAAATTTCATCTTTTGTTTTTTGAGACAGGGTTGGTCTTGCTCTGTTGCCCGGGCTGGAGTGTGTGGCATGATTATAGCCCACTGCAGCGTCCACTTTCTGGGCTCAAGCAATCCTCCCACCTCAGCCTCCCAGGTGGCTGAGACTACAGGAGTGTGCCACCACGCCTGGCTAATTTTTGTAGAGATGAGGTTTTGCTATGTTGCCCAGGCTGGATATTTCATCTTTAACTTGTGAGGCTTTTGTTGTTTTCTCAGCAGATCAAATATTTATTTGCTGATTCCCCCTACAGGCACATTGAGTTGCCCAAAGATTAGACTGGGTCGCCCATGAGGTCTCAGTCATATTCTTCATTAGAAATTGTTTTTTTTTTTTTGGCCTCTAACAGAGAAATGTGGGAGGAATGAGTTCCTAAATTGAATGTCAAAGTTCTTAGGTAACCCCTATACCCCCAATTCCCAAAAATAGTGTCTTGACAGCTGATGCATTAGAAGTTACAGTGTTTATTTTGTTTTCTTTCTTCCTTGTTTTCCCTTGAATATAGATGCCTAATGGTTCAGATGACACTTGGTCCCCCAAATTGTACAACACACATGAATCTAGTTCATGTTGTTTCATTGAAACACATGCTCAAAACTCTGTCCTGTGTATCATACACTCACCAAAGACAGACATGTAAAAGATATTTCTTAGAGTGGCCGTTGCAAATAGTAATCATGGTTTTGTTATTTCAATGGAATGCTATGTTCACCTTTCTTCACCTTTCTGTTCTGTATGTTATAAACTCTCCAAAGACAAATGTATAAAATAAGTTTCTAAGCATGTTACTTGTGGGTATGAATCAAGACAGTGTTGTTTCAATAAAATACTGTGTTGACTCTGCTGCCTGTTTCACACTGTCGAAATACACATGTATAAAAGATATTTCTAAGAATGCTAATTGGAGGAATACATTTTTTAGACATTAATATTTTATACAGCCCTTCCCATTGATTTTTGCACCCCCCGCCCAGCCATCCATCCCAACCAGAATATTGCCCCTGACAGCGACAAAAGAAGACAGTACCTGATGGGGGGGCTTTGGTAGATGGGACATCTACTCTACCAAAGGGTGGTCAAAGTAGGTTTGGCAGGAGAAGAAGGCACTTCCATGGTTTGACAGTCACCTGAGGCAGGGGTCCTAGGAACTGCAAAAGTATCTTCTTGAGGCATTATCTGCCACTATCCCTGCCGGCCCATCAGGAGGACCCATTGGCCCCTGGCATGTGTGTGTTATGTGCATATGCACTCTTTTTTTTTTTTGAGATGAAGTCTCACTCTGTTGCCCAGGCTGGAGTGCAGTGGTGCTATCTCAGCTCACTGCAACCTCCATCTCCCAGGTTCAAGCGATTCTCCTGCCTCAGCCTCCCAAGTAGCTGGGATTACAGGCGCATGCCACTACACCCAACTAATTTTTGTATTTTTAGCAGAGATGGGGTTTTGTCGTGTTGGCCAGGCTGGTCTCGAACTCCTGACCTCATGTGATCTGCCTGTCTCGGCCTCCCCAAGTGCTGGGATATACAGGCGTGAGCCACCGCGCCCAGCCTGCATATTTGTTTATCCTCTTTGTAAGTGGTGAAACCGTGCTTTCTGCAGGCACTGTAGATCTTCACCTGAGCCTGGCAACTCGAAGGCCTGCACTGATCACCAGGACCAGTGCTGGCCGTGGACCTGGGTCCTAGGCCCTAGGTTTTCTGAGCATCACTGCCAATCTTCAGGAGACTCATGCATGTGCAGCTCACTTCTGCCAGACCCATCTGCACCTGCACCTAAAGTGCTGCGTCAGCTTAGCCAGATCTCCAGATCCCCAGCTCATCAAACTATCCACCCCCTCCCTAAAGATATTTGTATCAGGATATTTCTAACAGTGCCACTTGTGTGAAAAGATCAGGTTTCAGTTGTTGCTTTGTAACACTGTTTTCATAGATCTGTGCTTCATGGTATCTGCTCTGTCAATATAGATGTATAAAAGAAGAGTCTTAGAATGTGATTTGCAAGAATGAATCAAGATCAGGTTATTTCCGGGAAAACCATATTGGGCACTCTGTGCTGCGTGCTCTACATGCTAATAAGCTATGTGTGAAAGTTGTGAATACGAATTCTTGATGTGAATATCAGTCAGGATGTGCAAATGCTCTGAAACACTGTGCCTCGGGTTACAGACAGTCTAATGACATAATGACATGTATAAACACATCTCCAAGAGTGCTCTAAGTGAGGTTTCTTTTTTTTTTTTTTTTTTTTTTTTTTTTTGAGACAGAGGCTTGCTCTGTCACCCAGGCTGAAATGCAGTGGCGCAATCTCGGCTCACTGCAAGCTCCGCCTCCTGGGTTCATGCCATTCTCCTGCCTCAGCCTCTCGAGTAGCTGGAACTACAGGCGCCAGCCACCACGCCCGGGTAATTTTTTGTATTTTTAGTAGAGACGGGATTTCACTGTGTTAGCCAGGATTGTCTCGATCTCCTGACCTCGTGATCTGCCTGCCTCGGCCTCCCAAAGTGCTGGGATTACAGGTGTGAGCCACTGCGCCCGGCCCTAAGTGAGGTTTCTAAATGTAATTATGTGACTGCATGAAGATAGTGTTGTGTTTTGTTTCGTTTTGTTTTGTTTTTGAGATAGAGTCTTACTCTGTCCCCCAAGCTGGAGTACAGTGGCACGATCTTGGCTCACTGCCACCTCCACCTCCCGGGTTCAAGCGATTCTCCTGCCTCAGCCTCGTGAGTAACTGGGATTACAGGTGTGCACCACCATGCCTGGCTAATTTTTTTGTATTTTTAGTAGAAATGGGGTTTCACTACATTGGCCAGGCTGGTTTTGAACTCCTGACCTCAAGTGATCCGCCCACCTCAGCCTCCCAAAGTGCTGGGATTACAGGCGTGAGCCACCGTGCCTGGCCCGTTATCGTTATTTTGTGAAATACTATGTTTATCACACTGTGCTGCATGTTATGTATTTTCTAAAAGAGACATCTGTTAAAGATATGTCTAATATGCTAGTTGTGTGTAGCATATTAGACACATCTATTTTTGTGAAACCCTATATTCACCAATATAAAGATGCGTCTAATATGCTAATTAATCAGCATATTATTTTTTGTCTGAAAGATTTGTACTCACCAATCTCTACTGCATGTATACACTCCCCATAGATGTGTGAGAGACGATTCTAAGGTTTTCTTTTTTGAGATGGAGTCTCGTTTTGTCACCCAGGCTGGAGTGCAGTGGCACAATCTTGGCTCGCTGCAACCTCTACCTCCTGGGTTCAAGCAATTCTCCCTGCCTCAGCCTCCCAAGAAGCTGGGATTACAGGCACCCACCAAAATCCCCACCACCACACTGAGCTAATTTTTTGTATTTTTAGTGGAGACAGGGTTTCGCCATGTTGGCCAGGCTTGTCTTGAACTCCTGACCTCAGGTGATCCATCTGCCTTGGCCTCCCAAAGTGCTGGGATTACAGGCGTGAGCCACCACGCCCAGCCATAAGGTTTCCTTTTACATGAACCAATCAAGACACCGTTCTTTCTGTATAATACTGGGTTCACCACTCTGCTGTATGATATACACTCCCTAAAGAGACATGAGCAAAAGATGTTTATAAGAATGTTGGCTCCCGAATGAGTCAAGATAGTGTCACTTGTGTGAATCACTCTCTTTAGCACTCAGAGGTGCATGTTATATGTTCTGTAAACAGACATGTTTAAAATATATTTCTAACAGTGTTTAGTAACACTACTCTAAAATCAGGATAGTTTTATTCCTGTTACTTGTATAAATGAATCAGATAAATCAAGATAGTGTTATTTGTGTGAAACACAATGTTTACCACCTGTGATGTATGTTATACATGCACATATTAAAAATACATGTTTTTCTGTAAAGAAACATGTATAACATATGTTTGTAAGAATTCTTTTTCCTTAATGAATCAGGATACTGTTCTGTGTAATACTGAGGACATTCTGTGCTTAGAGAGAGAGATATATAAAAGTTGTTTCTAAGATTGCTAGTTATGTGAACGAATCAGGATAGTGGTATTTTCGTGAAACCCTACATTCACCGATTTGTACTTCAAATGTAAAAGATGATTGTAAGAAGGCTACTGGCCTGAATGAATCAGATTAGTCTCATTTCCTAGAATTGCTATGTCCAGCACCCTGAGTTGCATGTTATTCCTTCTTTAAAAAGATGTTTATAAGAATGCTTGCTCTGTGGATGAATGAGGACAGGGTTATTTCTGTGAAACACTGTGTTCAACAAATCAGTGCTGCAGACCCCGCCTCCAACACTGGGGATTATAATTCGACATGAGATTTGGTGGAGACACTGATATGGTTTGGCTCTGTGTCCCCACCGAAATCTCATCTCGATTTATAATCCCCATATGTCAAGGGAGGATCCTGGTGGGAGGTGATTCAGTCATGAGGATTGTTTCTGCCATGCTGTTCTTGTGACAGAGTTCTCACGAGATCAGGCTGATAAGTGGCACCTCTCCCTTCTCACTCTCTCTCCTGCCACCACGTAAGACATGCCTTGCTTTACCTTCACCTTCCGCCGTGATTGTAAGTTTCCTGAGACCTCTAGAGCCATACAGAACTGTGTGTCCATTAAGCCTCCTTTCTTTTCTTTTTTTTAAGCCAATGAAACCATTTTATTACTGTTAATCAGTTACTTAGAAATCACTTTTACCAGAGTTTAGATTACTAACACCTTAGGAAGACCATTCTCTCCTTTTTCATTATTATTTCTCAAAAGAGAGAATGTTTCTGGTATTCCAGAAATGAATATGTTGAGAAAATCTTTCCATTATCAGTATCATTTAAACAATGTTGAAGTCTGGGGAAAAATAAATTTTTTCCAAGGCTACACACATATCTATTCTTTGAATACAGGAAACTGAATGTGCAAATCCAGACAGTTGCAGAATTTTCACTGAAAGTCTAAGAAGGGATGAGTGTGTTATTGTGAATGGACTCTATAGACAGTATTAATTCCTTCACTTTCAGGCACCATCTCTCAGTGTGAAATCTCAGAGTCCCAGAAATCCAGTGCTGTTTCTTTGGGCTTTGTTCCTTGCTTCTTTCTTGCTTTTTTTTTTTTTTTTAATTATTATACTTTAAATTCTGGGATACACGTACAGAACGTGCAGGTTTGTTACAAAGGTATACACAGGCCATGGTGTAAACCTCCTTTCTTTTTAAATTACTCAGTCTCAGGTAGTATCTTTATAGCAGTGTAAGAATGGACTAATACAGACATAGATCCAAAGCATATCAAGCACTCTGTGCTATATGCCCTCTAAAAGCCATGTATAAAAGCTATTTCTAAGAGCGCTAGTGGCATGAATGAATCAAGACAGTGTTACTGTGGTATTTCTGTGAACACATTGTCCACCACTCTGCCCTACATGTTATAGACTCTCTATATACATAGCGTGAATATGATTTTAAAAGCTCTTCTTACCTGAATAAATTAGGATAATGTTTCTTCTGTCTATCCTTGGGTTCACCAGTCTATGCAGCATGTTACATGCTCTCCAAAGAGACACGTACGTACAAAATATAAGAAAACTTGTGTGAATGAATCACAATTGTGTTTTTAGTGAATTGCTTTGTTCAGCAGTCTATACCATAGGTTATCCAATATCTATTGAGTCATTTAAAAGATTTTTCAAAGTGTTCTGTTTGCATTAATGAATGAGGATAATCTGTGAAGCACTCTGTTCAGCACGCTGTTCTGCACATTATATTCTCTCCATAGACATAAGTGTGAATGATGATTCTAAGAGCTCTTTTTCCCGGAGTCAGTCAGAATATACTGTTTTGTCTGCCTAACACTGGGTTTCCTAGTCTGTGCTGCATTTATACACTCTTGTTAAAAAAATGTTTCTAAAGCTGCTGATTGCATGAAAGAATTAAGGTAGTTATATATGTGAAACACTGTGTTCAGCACCTGCCACATGTCACACACGCTTTAAAGACACATATATAAGCATATTTCTAACAATGCTATTTGCTTAAATTAATGAGGATAATATTATTTCTGCAAAACACCATGTATTAGTTTTCTAGGGCTGACATAACAAAATATAATTTACTGGGAGACTTACACAAGAGAAATTAATATTCTCACAGGTCAGGAGGATGGAGGTTCAAGTGTTGGCAGGTCTGATTTCTCCTGAGTCTTCTCTTACGGGCTTGCAGATGGCTGTGTTATCACCGTGTCCTCATGTGGCCTTTCCTCTGTGCAGGTGCACCCGTGGTATCTCTTCTTCTATAAGGACACCAAATAGATTAGGCTTCTATGGCATCATTTTAACTTGTTCACCCCTTTAAAGACCTTATCTTCAAAATTCAGTTACACCCTGAGGTACTGGGGTTTGGGGATCTCAACATAGACATTGTATGGAGACACAATTCATTCCATAACATTCTACCTACTGGGCACCCAAATTTATGGTCTGATCATATGCAAAATAAATTTACCTCATTTCAAAACCCCAAAGTATCAGCCCATTTCAACATCAAATCTATGTCCAAAATCTTATCAGAATATCTAAATCTAGCATGGGTGAGACTCACTCAGAATATCTAAATCTGGTGTGGATGATGTCTCCTGAGGAGAAATTCCTTTCCAGGTATAAACCTGTGAAATCAGACAGGTTATCTGCCTTCAACATACAGTGCTGGGACAGGCATAAGACAGACATTCCCATTCCAAAAGACAGAAATTGGAAGGAAGAGAGAGGCCAAGGGTCTCAAGCAACTCCAAAACCTGTCAGAAAATGTCGTTAGCTTTTAAGACTCAAGAATAATTATCTTTGGTTTGATCTTGTGTCTTCTGAGCACACTGTGGTTGCAGTCCCACCTTTCTGGCCCAGTGGGGAGAAAGCTTTGCCTCTGTGACAATGGGCAGCAATCTTGCTCCCGTCACCCTGGTTGGCAACCCTTCCAGGAGAGCCCCGAGCAACGCCCCCAACCCCAAAGCCTGAATGGCAGCCCTGCCCTGAGGACCTAGATGGTGGTGACCTGGACTGCTGAACCCAAGGAGGTGACAACCTCAACCCCTTGTTCTGTGCTCTCTTTGCTTGTGATGGTAGTTGAAGCCCTGCCAATCTCAGAATCACTTTCAGAGTCATTCCTTTCTTTGCTTGAAGGATAACACATGTTCACAACTCTAGCGTTCCCTCCTGTACAATCCCAGAACTCTGACATTCGTCTTTCATTGTGTACCATCTCTGTCCTCTTTGGTCCAAGCTGTCAGTGTATCTGCTGGTATAGCCCCATCCCTCTCCTGCTTTGGCTGAGATGGCTAAGCAGATCTATGAGTCACACTCTTAATCTCATTACTGGGCGATTTTCCAGCAACATTCTTGGTGTTCTTTTCAGAAATCACTTTATTTTTTTTCTGAAATATGAGTAGTCTCATAATATTCCAAGTCTTCAATTTCTAGTTCCTTTTTGCTTAATAATACCTTCAATTTATCTATTTTCTCCCACATTTTATTATAAGCAGGAAGGAGAAATCAAGCCAGACTTCTAATACTTTGCTCAGAAATCTCCTAAGTCAGCTAAATATCCAAGTTTATCACAAATTCTACCTTCCACAAAATGCTAGGGCACAATTCAACCAAGCCTTCACCACTTTATGTAACAAGGTTGGCCTTTATTCTCCAGCAAGATACTCATCTTTTCCACTTGAGGTCTCATCAGAATGGTTTTTACCATCCACATTTCTACCAGCAATCTCTTCAGGGTAATCTGCGCTTTCTAGCAGGTACCTCAAAACTCTTCTAACCCCCACCCATTACCCAGTTTCAAAGCTACTTCCACATTTTTAGAACTTTGTTACAGCCGCACTCTGCCTCCCAGTACCAAAATCAGCACAAGTTTGCCAGGGTCACTTTAACAAAACACCATACCCTGGGAGGCTTAAACAGCAGAAGTTCATTTTTGACAGTTCTGGAGCCTGGAAGTCTAAGATAAAGGTGCTGACATATTTGGTTTCTCCTGAGTCCTCTTTTCCTTGCTTGCAGATGGCCACTTTATCATTCTGTCCCCACATGGCTCCTTTTCTGTACATGCTAACTCCTGGTGTCTCTTTCTGTTCTGATAAGGACATCTGTCCTATTGGATTAGGGCTCTACCCTCATTGCTTTTTTTTTTTTTGTGACAGGGTCCTGCTCGGTCACCCAGGATAGAGTGCAGTGGTGAGATCATGGCTCACAGCAGCCTCGACCTCATGGGCTCCAGCAATCTTCCTACCTCAACGGCCCAAGTAGCTGAGACCATAAGCATGTGCCACCAGGCCTGGCTGCCTCGTTTTAACTTAATCATCTGTTTACAAACTTATTTCTAAATATGGTTATACCGTTTTTTGTTGTTGTTGATTGTTTTTTTTTTTTTTTTTTTTTTTTTGAGATAGAGTCTTACTCTGTAGCCCAGGCTGGAGTGCAGTGGCACCATCTCTGCTCACTGCAACCTCCACCTCCCAGGTTCAAGCAATTCTCCTGCCTCAGCCTCTCAAGTAGCTTGGATTACAGGCACCCACCACCACGCCCAGCTAATTTTTGTATTTTAGTAGAGACGGGGTTTCGCCATGTGGGCCAGGCTGGTCTCGAATTCCTGACCTCAGGTAATCTGCCTGCATCGGCCTCCCAAAGTGCTAGCATTACAGGCATGAGCCACCACGCCCAGCCAGTATGGTTACATCTAAATATGGTTACATCCTGATCCCCTGGGGCTTGGGACTTCATATGAATTTTGTGGGGGTGCACAATTGAGCCCATAACACACCGTATTTCCATCTGTTGTGCCTGTTATGTACTCTAAAGAGACATGCATAAATCACGTTTATGAGAATGCTTGCTGTGGGGACCAAACATGAATCAAGTGTTTTGATGTGACACACTCTGTTCAGTATGGGCTGAATAGTGTGTAAGGACGCATGTTCATACCTGTAATCCCAGCACTTTGGGAGGCTGAGGTGGGTGGATTGCCTGAGTCCAGGAGTTTGAGACCAGCCTGGGCAATGTGGTGAAACCCCATCTCTACAAAAAATACAAAATTTAGCCAGGTGTGGTGGTGCACGCCTATAGTCCCAGTGACTTGGGAGGCTGACGTGGGAGGATCACCTGAGCCTGGGAGGTGGAGGCTATAGTGAGCCAAGATCATAACACTGCACTCCAGCCTGGGTGACAGAGTGAGACCTGTTTTTAAAAAAAGCAAAAGACATGTGTACGATGGTAATTCTTTTTCTTTTCTTTTTTTTTTTTTTTTTTTTTTGAGATGGAGTCTTGCTCTGTCGCCAGGCTGGAGTGCAGTGGCACGATCTCGGCTCACTGCAACCTCCACCTCCCGGTTTCAAGTGATTCTCCTGCCTCAGCCTCCTGAGTAGCTGGGACTACAGGTGCACGCCACCATGCCCAGCTGATTTTTTTTGTTTATTTTTATTTTTAGTAGAGATGGGGTTTCACTGTGTTAGCCAGGACGGTCTCGATCTCTTGACCTTGTTATCCGCCCACCTCAACCTCCCAAAGTGCTGGGATTACAGGCGTGATCCACCGCACCCGGCTGTATGATGGTATTTCTAAGAGCGCTAGTTGTATGAATGAATCAGTACCGTGAAGTGTCTGGAAGACTCTTTGCTACATGTGATACATTCTCTAAACAAACATGTTTAAAAGATGTTTCTAAGATTTCTACTTACCTGAATGAATCAGATACTGTAATGTGTTTGAACCACTGTGTTCACCACTCCGTGCTGCCTGCTATACATTCTTTAAAGAGCCATGTGTTCAGTATTTTCTAAAGTACTCATTTTAAGTAAATCAGGGCCATTTTACATCTGAAATACTGTATTTGATAATCTGTGCTTCATGTTATATATGCGAGGGCACATGTATGAAAGACACTTAGAGTGCCGGTGGTAGGAATGGATTAGTATGCTGGTATTACTGTGAAGCACGGCATTTAGGATTCCATGCTGCAGGCTATACATTCGCAACAGATAGATGCGTAAAAATATTTTGAAGATGTAACAAACCTGCACGTTGTGCACATGTACCCTAAAACTTAAAGTATAATAATAATAAAATTTAAAAAAAGACACTAGTGGATAAACTGCGGAGATCCCAAAAAAAAAATATTTTGAAGTGTACTGTGCTAGGCCATTTTGGCACTACTATAAAGAAATACCTGACGCTGGGTAATTTATAAAGCAAAGAGAGTTTTTTTCTTTTCTTTTCTTTTCTTTTTTTTTTTCTTTTGAGACAGAGTCTTGTTCTGTCGCCCAGGCTGGAGTTCAGTGGCTCAATCTCTGCTCACTGCAAACTCTGCCTCCTAAGTTCCAGTGAATCTTCTGCCTCAACCTCCCAAGTAGTTAGGATTACAGGCGTGCGCCACCATGCCCAGCTAGTTTTTATATTTTTAGTAGAGACGGGGTTTCGCCAGGCAAAGAGGTTTAACAGGCTCACGGTTCTGCAGGCTGTGCAAGCATGGCACTACCATCTATTCAGTTTCTGGTGAGGGGCCTCAGGAAGCTTACAGTCATGGCCAGAGATGAAGGGGGAACAGCACATCCCAAGGTGAGGGTGGGAGCAGGAGAGAGAGGGAGAAGGGGCCAAGCTCTTTTAAACAACCAGATCTCATGTGACCGCAACACAAGGACTCAGTCATTTATCATGAGGATAGCACCAAGCCACTCATGAGGCATCTGCCCCCGTGACCCAGACACTCCCCATCAGGCCCGACCTCCAACATTGGGGATCCCATTTCAACATGAGATTTGGAGGAGACAAATATCCAAACCATAAGAAATATAGTTATGTGACTGAATCAGAAGAATTTTATTTCATAGAATCATGCATTCAGCACTCTTCTGCCCATTACACACTTTTTTTTTTTTTTTTTTGAGATGGATTCTGTCTCTGTTGCTCAGGCTGGAGTGCAGTGGTGACGTCTTGGTTCACTGCAAACTCTGCCTCCCAGGTTCAAGCAATTCTCCTGCCTCAGTCTCCTGAGTAGCTGGGACTATAGGTGCCCGCCGCCATACCACGCCTGGCTAATTTTTTATTTTTATTTTTAGTAGAGACAGGGTTTCACCATGTTGGCCAGGCTGGTCTCGAACTCCTGATCTCAGGTGACCCGCCCGCCTTGGCCTCCCAAAGTGCTAGGATTACAGGTGTGAGCCACCATGCCTGGCCCCATTATACACTTTTTAAGGAGCTGTGTAAATGTGTTTCTAAGAGTGTCAATTGAATAAATAAATAAGTCCCATGTTACTTAACGAAGCATTTTGTTCCGTTCCCTGTGCCGCATGTTTTACACTCTCCAAAGACACATGTGTAAAGGAATTTCTAACAGGTCAACTTGTGTGGATGAATCAGTTTTATTTCTATGAAGCACTGAGTTCAGCACTCGCTGCACGGTGTGCATTCTTTATGACACACGTGTAAAAGATGTTGCTAAGACTGCTATTTGTGTGCATAAACCAGCATAACGTTGTTTCTGTAAACCTCATTGTTCAGGACTATTGCTGAACGTTCTACACTTCATAACATTTTATGGGTAAAAGATGTTTCTAAGCGTGCTGGTTGTGTGAATGAATCAATATACTGTCATATCTATGAAACACTATTCGCAGCATTCTGAACTGTATTGTATAATCTCTGTAAAGAGACACATGTAAATTGTGTTTTGTTAAGAGATAATTGTGTAATGAACCAATGTTATTTTCATGAAACCATATGTACTGCTCTCTCTGTGCCATGTTATACACTGGAAATACAAATACATAAATGACATTTGTAACAATCTTATGTGGCTCAATAAATCAGTATAGTGTAATTTCTATGGCCTACATTGTATGTAAATATGCTTGTAGTAGCTCTGGTTGGGTGAATGAATAAGGATAGTGTTATTTCGATGAAACATTGTTCAGCACTTTATTGTTTATTGTACACTCTAAATACAACTGTATAAAAGATATTTAACGTGGCCTTAAACTGCACGAGCACACTTACATGTGGATTTTCTTCTGTCTCTGCCACCCCTAGACAGCAAGACCCCCCGCAAGACAGCAAGACCCAACTCTCTTCTTTCTCTTCCTCCTCATCCTACTCAACATGAAGATGACAAGGATGAAGACCTTCATGATGGTCCACTTCACTTAATGAATAGTAAATAGTAAATTTTCTCTTCCTCATGATGTTTGAAATAATATTTTCTTTTCTCTAGCTTATTTTATTGTAACAATACAGTATACTATACACACACAAAATATGTGTTAATCAACTGTTTATGTTATTGGTAAGGCTTATGGTTAACAGTGGGCTCTTAATAGCTACACTGTGGTGGAGTCAAAAGTTATATACAGGGTCTCGACTGTCTGGGGGTTCGGTGCCCCTAATCTCTGCATTGTTCAAGGGACAACCACAGTGTTATTTCTGTTAGACATGTGTCAGCACCCTATGCTGTTACTGTGACTTGCTATTTTTTTAAATCTCCCTTGTAACTGTAGGATAACTCTCTGTATAACTCTAGTGAATCCCCAGTAAGTGCAAATTAAAATGGTGACCTGTATCTTTAAAGAAAATTAAATCTTTATACATGCTCATGACATCTTGTGTTTTTCATAAACCATTAAGTATATCAGAAGGTTAGTCACATATTTGATGGCTTATGTATTAAATCTCTCAATCAGTAACCAGCAGAACAGGTTCTAGTCCTCACTCTGCCACTAACTAGCTGTTTCACCAGGAGTAAGTCACTCTGCTTGTTTGGATCTTCGTGTGTGAAGTGGGGAGTGTTAGGCAATAGAGCACTGCTGTGCCTTTCAGTGCCAACTTTCTCCAACTCATTATGCATAAGCTACATCAGTATGTAGGTTTTATTTCTGTTCTGGAAACTACAGCCTTTATCTCTGTATTTATACCAATCGCTTAGGTTACAAGTTAATCAGAGCCACCACTGAATGAACGTGGTCTATACATTTGCCTAGTAGTCAGTTTATGCTTTTATTTACCTTTTGCCTGGAGCCCAGCTCATATGTGACGACAGAAAAAATTATGGCTGTTAGATGGAGGCTTCTCTGTGAGGAATAAGGAAAAGCAAAGGAAGAGATGAGGCCAGAAAGCAACTCGTGGCATTCACAAGGCATTTGATGTTGCGCATCAGGACAGAGGCTTGCCAATAGACACTGGACGGGTTAAAAGAAAGTCCTAAAATGACATGTGTTTTCCTGTGTAGGGAGGTGTTTACGCATGCATGTATAAGCAGGCACTTTCAAGAGCATATGTGCATGTCCAACTATTTTTCAAAGATATCTGTAATCCAGAAAATGTTTGGAGCCACTGACATAATGGAATATACCATTGTTTTTCTTTCAGTCAATGAATTAACAGTCACAAATATGCTCTTTGGAGACAGGTAGAGCAAAATGGTCAAATGGAACCCTTGAACAATTGTCCTCCTTACCCCCACCCCCACAGGAACATCAAATTAAACAACTACTCATACAGTAATACACCTTCATAAGAACAAAAAAAACTGGGTGAGAGGTCACATAGTACCTGATTTTTGCATTATAGCAAGAGAAGAAACATTGAAGGGTGTAGGAAGGACAGTTTCATATTGCCTACACTACCCTCCTCTAGACCCAGGCAGTACAGCATGAAAAGAGAGAGAGAGAGAGAGAGAAGTGCCACAAAGTGCCACCCCATCACAGTGGAACACAGCATTCTGTAGAATTTTACCAGTGCCCACAAAGCAAGAAATTAGACCAGTTCTGTGCCAAAGAGTAATCCATTGCCCCAACAGAAGGTACCCAAGATCCAACTTGCTCTGCCACCAGCTAGCTGAAGTGGCCTCAAGCCCTGAATAAATATGAGTGGCAGCAAGGCCATAGCACTGTGGAGCTTGGGCGAACTCTGGTACTGGTCTCAAAGATTGTAGGCTTGGAGTGTGACCCAGCATCACACCAGGTATGGCAGCCATGGGATTGCCCGTGTCACCCTTCTCCTGACTCTAGGCAGAGCAGGGTGGAGAGAGACCCCTTCTACTTGGAAAATGAGAGAAAAGAGTACAGGGAATATTGTCTTGCAATTGGGTAGCAGCGCAGCCACAGTAAAACAAAGCTCTGGGCAGAGTCCCACAGCTCCTGACTCCAGGCCATTGCTCCTGGATGGTGCTTCCAGACCCAGAAGGGAATCTGCTGTCTTGCTGGGCCAAACCCATGTCCTGGAAAGCTTCACCACCTGCTGAATAAAGTGACCTTGGGCGTTGAATAAACATCAGTGGGAGTCAGGCAGTAGCAGATGTGAGCCTTGGGTATGCCCAGGTACTGTACTGGTCTGGGACACTGTGCACTTCGAGTGTGACCCAGCACAGTGCCAGCTATGGTAGCCATGAGAGTGTTTGCATCACCCCTTCCGCAGCTCCAAATAGTCCAGCACCATTCCATGTGGAAAATAAGAGGGAAGAGAGTGAGAAACTTTACTTGGGAACACAGGGAATTCTTTTTTATTTTCCTCAAGTCCATCAGGGCTAGGTATATAGGAGTCTGCAAGAGTTGCAGGATACCTGAGCTTAAGGTGTTCTGTAGTGCTTGAATGTCTGCAGTGACCATGCAGGCTTAGGGAACCCAACTCTTTGTCCCCTTTGAATGCTTGGAAGGCCCTGTGAGGAAGGATGAGTAAAAATAAAGCCAGACACCAATTACTGGAATAAACACCCAACTTTTCAATGCCCAGACATCAATGAATATCCACAAGCATCAAGAACATCCAGGAAAGCATGACCTCAACGAACGGACTAAATAAGATCCCAGTGACCAACCCTGGAGTGACAAGAGTTATGTTACGCCTCAGACAGAGAATTCAAAATAACTATTTTGAGGAAGCTCAATGAACTTCAACAAAACACAGAGAAGGAATTTAAAAAATTTATCAGAGAAACTTAACAAAGAAATTGAGACAACGAAAAAGAATGAAACAGAAATCCTGCGGTGGGAAAATATAATTAACAAACTGAAAAATGCTTCAGGGTGTCTCAACAGCAGAACTGATCAAACAAAAGAAAGAATTAGTGAGCAGAAGACAGGCTATTTGAAAATGCACAGTAAGGACGAAAGAAATAATAGAAAAGAATGATGAACACTTATAAGATTGAAAAGATAGCCTTAAAAGGGTAAATCTAAGATTTATTGGCCTTAAAGAGGAAGTAGGAAGAGAGGCAGGTTTAGAAATCTTATTTAAATAAATAATTAAAAAAAACTTTCCAAAGCTTGAGAAAGATAGAAATGTCCAGGTATAAGGAGGTCAAAGCTAACCAAACAAATTTAACCCAAATAAAACTAACTCAAGGCAAGTAATAGTCAAACTCTCAAAAGTAAAGGACAAAGAGAAGACCTTAAAAGCAGCAAGAGAAATGAGGCAAATAACAAATAACGGCGCTCCAATTCATCTGTCAACAGACTTCTCAACAGGAACCGCAGAGGTCAGAAAGGAGTGAGATGACATATTCAAAATGATGAAGGGAGTGGGGGGAACGCTGTCAACTGAGATACCCTTTAAATATCAAGGAGAGATAAGTCTTGCACAGATAAACCAAAGCTAAGGAATTAATCACCGCCAGACATGTTTTACAAGAAATACTAAAGGGAGTTTGTAAATCTGAAAGAAAAAAATACCACTAATGTGCAAGAAGAAAACATTTGAAGGTATAAAACTCATTGGTAAAAGTAAGTACACAGACAAAGTCAGAATACTCTAATACCGTAATTGCAGCGTATAATTCAAGATTTACTGTATTATGATGACTAAAAGACAAATCTATCAAAAATATAATAGCTACAGTGACTTATTATAACACAGGCAATATAAAAATATATATATTGAGACAAAAAAAGCAAAATGTGTGTGTGGGGGTTAAGTTAGTGTAGAGTTTTCTTTTCAGTTTTTCCTTTGTTTCTATTATTTTCTTTATGATAGACGATAAATTCTTATCTGTTTAAAATAACTAATTGGCTGGGCATGGTGGCTCATGCCTGTAATCCCAGCACTTTGGGAGCCTGAGGTGAGTGAATCACCTGAGGTGAGGAGTTTGAGACCAGCCTGGGCAACATGATGAAACCCCATCTCTACTAAAAATACAAAACTTAGCCAGGCAAGGTGGTGGGTGCCTGTAATCCCAGATACTTGGGAGGCTGAGGCAGGAGAATCACCTGAACCCCGGGCAGCAGAGGTTGCAGTGACCTGAGATTGTGCCATTGCACTCCAGTCTCAGTGACAGAGTAAGACTCCATCTCAAAAAAACTACAAAAACCAAAAAACTTGTTAGATCTCATGGTAACCACAAAGCAAGACCATATAATAGACACACTAAAAATAAAAAGCAAAGAATTGAAACATGACCATAGAAAATCACTTAACCACAAGGAAGAAAGGAAGAATAGAAGAGAGGAATTATAAAACAACCAGAAAACAAATAACAAAATGTCAGTAGTAAGTTGTTACCCATCAATAATAACAAAAGTTATTATAAATATAGAATTTCAGTATAATATATAATTTTAGTATAATAAAAACTAAAAAGCTCCTGCACAGCCAAATAAATAATTATCAGAGTTAACAGACAACCAACAGAGTGGGAGAAAATCTTCAAAATCTATACATCTGACAAAGGACTAATATCTAGAATCAACAAAGAACTCAAATCAGCAAGAACAAAACAAAAAGTGGGCTAAGGACATGAATAGATAACTCTCACAAGAAGATATACAAATGGCCAACAAGCATATGAAAAAATGTTCAACATCACTAATTATCAGGAAATGCAAATCAAAACCACAATGCGATACTGCCTCACTCTTGCAAGAATGGCCATAATCAGAAAATAAAAAAATAGTAGATGTTGGCATGGATGTGGTGAAATGGGGACACTTTTACACCGTTGGTGGGAATGTAAAGTAGTACAACCACTGTGGAAAACAGTGTGGAGATTGCTTAAAGAACTAAAAGTGGATCTACCGTTTGATCCAGCAATCCCACTGTTAGGTTTCTACCCAGAGGAAAATAAGTCCTTGTACAAAAAAGGTATTTGCACACACATGTTTATAGCAGCACAATTTGCAATTGCAAAAATATGGAAACAGCCTAAATGCCCACCAATGAACAAGTGTATTAAAAAATATGGTTTACATATACCATGGAATACTACTCTGACATAAAAAGGAACAAAATAACGGCATTCGCAGCAACCTGAATGGAACTGGAGACTATTATTCTAAGTGAAGTAACTGAAGAATGGAAAACCAAACATCGTATGTTCTCACTCATATGTGGGAGCTAAGCTATGAGGACACAAAGGCACAAGAATGATATATTGGACTTTGGGGACTTGGGGGGAAAGGGTGTGGGGTAGTGAGGGATTAAAGACCACAGTGTACACTGCTCAGGTGATGGGCGCACCAGAATCTCAGAAATCACCACTAAAGAACATACTCATGTAACCAAACACCACCTGTTCCCCCAAAACCAATTGAAATTAAAAAAAAAAAACATAGAGTGGCTGAATGGATGAAGAAACATGACCCAACTACATGCTGCCTAATGGAAAACCACTTCACCTATAAAGACATATACAGACTGAAAGGGAAAATATGGAAAAATATATCCCATGCAAACAGAAACCAAAAAAAAGCAGGAGTAGATAAAGTTATATCAGATAAAATAGACTACAAGTCAGAGACCGTGAAAAAAACACAAAACCATAAAGAAGATCAATATATAATGTTAAAGAGGTCTGTTCAGCAAGAGGATATAACAATTCTAAATACTTGTGCACTCAATGCTGGAATACCAAAACGCATAAAGCAAGCATCAATAGCCCTAAAGGGAGAGATGGACTGTAATTCAATAACAGTAGGGGACTTCAACACCTCAGACTCAATAATGAAGAGTTCACCCAGACAGAAAAATAATAAAGAAACATCAAAGTGAAACCAAAATTAGACCAAATGGGCCTAACTGACATTTGTAGACCATTTTATCTGACTGCTGCAGAATACACACTCCTCTCATCAGCACATAGAACATTCTTCAGAATAGACCATATTTTGAGCCACAAGACAAGTCTCAACAAATTTTTAAAAGACGAATACCATTAGAAATCAATAAAAAGAAGAATCTTGGAAACTACACAAACACATGGAAATTAAACATCTCCTGAATGATGAATAAATCAATGAAGAAATTAAGAAGAAAATTGAAAATTTATTTATATAAATAAAAGTGGAAACACTACATACCAAAATCTATGGGCTATAGCAAAAACAATACTAAGAGAGGAGTTTATGGCAATAAACTCCTACACTGAAAAGTAGAAAGACTTTAAATAAACAACTTAACAATGCACCCAAAGTAGCTAGAAATGCAAGCTAAAACCAAACCGAAAATTAGTAGAAAGAAAGACATAATAAAGATCAGAGCAGAAATAACTGAAATTGAGACAACAAAATTTAAAAATCAAGAAAACTGAAAAGTTGGCTTTTTAAAAAAATAAACAAAATGGACAAACCTTGAACTAGACTAAGAAAAAAAAGAGAGAGGACTCAGATAAGTAAAATCAGAAACAAATAAGGAGATGTAATAACTGAGACCACAGAAATACAAAGATTCATTAGAGATTATCATGCTTCTTTTCCATCTGCTGGCTGAGCCTGGGGTTTTTATGGGCACAGGATTGGGGGCAGGGCTGGCCAAGGATGGTTGTGGAAAAGGTAACATTTGAGCAGGAAACCAGGGATGTAAGTTCTCACTTTGTGCTGCAGTTTCAGGCTCGAGGGTGGGACCCTCATCGGGGATCTGCCCTCCCAGAATTTCTCTCCCTCTTGTCCCTATCATTTAGAGAACTCCTATAAGCAACAACAATATAAAACAACCTGATTCAAAAATGAGCAATGGATTTGAACAGTTATTTCTGCAGATGATATACAAACTGTCAACAAGCACATGAAAAGATGCTAAGCATCACTAATCATCAGGGAAATGCAAATCAAAACCACAAAAAGATAAAACTACAAAAAGATAAAAAAAGATAGATGGCTATTATCAAAAACAGAAAATAACAAATATTCATAAAGACATAGAGAAAGTGGGACCCTGTGCGGTGTTGGTGGGGATAGAAAATGGTGAAGTCACTGTGGAAAACAGTATTGCAGTTCCTAAAACATAGATATTTTTATATAATTACCATAGGATTCAGCAATTCCACTTCTGTGTATAAATAAAAAAGACTTGAAAGCAGGATTTTTGAAGTGATACTATTACACCTATGTTTATAACAGCACTATTCACAATAACCAAGAGGTGAAAACAACCAAAGTGTCTGTAGATGAGTGAATGGATAAGCAAAATGTGGTACACAGATAAAATGAAAGGAAATTCTGATATGGATAAACTTTGAAGATCTGACATGGATAAAGCAAGCAATGACTCCTGGCAGCCTTCAAGATGTGGTGCATAATGAAGACATTATGGTAAGTGAAAATATGCCAGGCACAAAAGGACAAATATTGTATAATTCCACTTCTATAAGGTACCTAGAGCAGTCAAGTTTATAGAGGCAGACGATAGAATAGTAGTTTCCAGGGGCTGGGGAGCTGGGAAGAATGGCAGGAGTTGTTTTTCAATGGGTACGAGTTTCATTTGGGGAAGATGAAAAAGTTCTGGAGATGGAAAGTGATGATGATTGCTTAACAATGTGAATGTTCTTAGTGTCACTGAACTGTAGACTAAAAATAGTTAAAATGGTAAACTGTATGTTATGTATAATTTACCACAATAAAAAAGTGTATATGAGATACAGTCAAGGGAACCTAGTTTTCTCCAGGGGAAAAAGGAGGTGTAGAAGGGTGGAGGGGTGTACATGTGACTGTTGAAACATTAAAAGTACTCTTTAAGTAAGAGAGAGAGTAACCAGCTGTACCATTTATCAGTTATCTGACTTTTTGCAAGTAGGTAAACTTCTCCATGCTTTAGTTTCTTAAACAATACAAATAAAAAGGGTCATATTTTTCCATCATTGTTACTCTTGTCTTTTCCCCCTTATTCCCTCAAATGATTGCACAGTTAGTGGTTTGGGAGCATGGTGATAGGGTTTGGCTGTGTCCCCACCCAAATCGCAACTTAAATTTTAGTTTGCATAATCCCCACGTGTTGTGGGAGGAGAGCAAGTGGGAGGAAATTTAGTCATGGGTGGGTTACCTTGATGCTGTTCTCATGATAGTGAGTGAGTTCTCATGAGATCTGATGGCTTTATAAGGGGCTTTTACCCCTTTTGCTCGGCACTTCCCCTTGCTGCCACCATGCGAAGAAGGACATGTTTGCTTCCCCTTCTGCCATGATTGTAAGTTTCCTGAGGCCACTCTAGTCATGCTGAACTGTGAGTCCGTTAAACCTCCCTCCTTTATAAATTACCCAGGCTTGGGCGTGTCTTTATTTGCAGCATGAGAACGGACTAATACAGATGGTTAACACTACGCTTCCCTAAAGCAGGAACCCTCCTCTTGCACCTGTCTATTTCCATTCATTCCACAATAGAATGAATAAACAAATTCATCCTGTAGACTGTTTTGTTTCTATCTCATGCTGTCCATCTACCCAGTCCATGAGCACACACACACACAGAAACACACACACACATACACACAAACATGCAAATTTTGTAAATCTGCTTTCCTCCTACTCTAAGAATCACCAGATCTATTTTATTGACTCTCTTTCATGGCCAATTTTCTTCCTAGCATTTATATCTTTTTTGGCAGCTCCCTGAAGGAGAAGGAAGTATGCATTTTGTTGCTAGGCAACGAGTATCTCCAGAATGCACATTCCTTTTTTTAGATGGAAAAGGGAGTGTTTAATTTTTGTAAATGGGGTTTAATTTCAGTTCTTGAAAGGTCACTCGAATAATTCAGAGTTATGAAGAGTTGCTCAGCACAAATTGTAAGCCTAGTCTTTCCCTTAGTCCCCGGACATAGGACAAGGAACTTTCAGCCAAGTTGTCCCTGGTCGAGGTCTCCCAATGTACTGTGAGATATTTCTGTTTACAAATGCCAACAGGCCCAACTGAAGAAGGACATGTTTGCTTCCCCTTCTGCCGTGATTGTAAGTTTCCTGAGGCCACTCTAGTCAGGCTGAACTGTGAGTCCACTAAACCTCTTTCCTTTATAAATTACCCAGGCTTGGGCAAAATGGCAGACTTTACCTAGCCTGAGAGACAGGAGTAAATAGTTAAAAAGAGGTAATTTAGGTAGATATGCATAAGAGAAAATTCATGGCAATAAAAACAATATAAATATGTATCTTTTATAGGGGGAGAGAGTTTTGGGGTGACTGCAGGTAGGAAAATGTTGTTTCAAGATAAGAATGGAGCAGTGAGGGCCAGGTGTGGTGGCTCATGCCTGTAATCCCTTTGGGGTGGGAGGCCGAGGCGGGTGGATCACCTGAGGTCACAAGTTCAAGACCAGCCTGGCCAACATGGTGAAACCCCGTCTCTACTAAAAATACAAAAATTAGCCAGGCATAGTGGCGGGCCCCTGTAATCCTGGCTACTCTGGAGGCTGAGGCAGGAGAATCGCTCCACTTCAACCTGGGAGGCGGAGGTTACAGTGAGCTGAGAATGCACCAGCTCCAGCCTGGTCAACAAGAGCAGAACTCTGTCTCAAACCCTCCCCCTCAAAACACAAAAAAACAAAAAGAATGGGGCAATGAAGTCAGATGCCATCCACTGCACCATATTTCATTTAATTATAATTCACATAAGCCCACATGTAAATGGCCAAAGCACGTTTATGATTTTCTATTTTTCAAAAACATTTTTTATTTAACTTTATTAAAATGACTGATAAAACACAAGGTTTGAACCCTTAAAAATGACATATCAGTTGCCTTCCCTTAAGGTCTATGATCCAGTGAGAACAAAGAATATTTTCAACTTTCTATTTTATCTTTTTAGAGATTTATTTATATTTTCCCTTATCTATATGTCCCTATGTGCTCTATTGTCCAGTCACATCTTAGGATGCCACTGCCATTTATATCATTCTTTTTTTTTTGAGATGGAGTTTTGCTCTTGCTGCCCAGGCTGGAGTGCAGTGGTGTGATCTTGGCTCACTGCAACCTCTGCTTCCTGGGTTCAAGTGATTCTCCTGCCTCAGCCTCCTGAGTAGCTGGGATTACAGGTGTGTGCCACCATGCCCAGCTAATTTTTGTATTTTTATTAGAGATGGGGCTCTCGCCATGTTGGCCAGGCTGGTCTTGAACTCTTGACCTCAGGTGATCTGCCCGCCTTGGCCTCCCAGTGCTGGGCTTATAGGACTGAGCCACCCTTATGTCATTCTTAAACAGATATGATCTTACATGCCATCCTCCAAGATGTCCTCCAGTTCCCAATTATTATTTTTCCCTCTGTAGTCTACATGTCTTGTTCCTTTATGTTTGACTCACGATAACTGACAGAAAAGTGAATTAGTTAAAAGGTGAGACTGCCCAAATAGTTTATAAATAACTAAATAACAAGGTTTGATTCATTTCTATGTGCCCCTCATGTTTAACGTATAAGTGCATACTCACTGGTTACATAAATGAGCCACAAACTAGCAAGTATATCAACAGAGACTCGCAGTATTCTTAAAGTACAGCACACTCTCTTTCTCTCATACGAAAGTTCAGAGTCATCATTCAAAAACATATGGCAAGATCTTCAAGAATCTCCTAAAAGAGAAAACATATCCAACAGTTTTCTTGTTTAATGTATCTCCTAATCCTTTGAAAATCAGTAACCTCTATGGAGTTAAAAAAGCAAATAACCAGTCAATAAAAACGTTAAATTAACCAGAGCACCTGAAAATAAAGCTGTACCGAGCCACGGGTGAAGGAAAAGGAGTACTAGATGTATGATAAGCACAATGACAAGAAGCTTCATTTTTGCCCTTGCCCATCCAGTGCTAGATGCTATGATGCCTTCCTCAGATAGGCAAAAAATCCACTTTCTAAAATAGAACATACTCACTCTGGTTCTTTAAATAGTAAAGGGTAGCTGCCATCTAGTGACTTGTTGCTTAGTAATACTGCTGTACACCTTCTCTCCTCTCTGAGGCAGGGAACCCTTCCCATTCTCTGTTGGAATTGCAACCTTTTCATTTTTCTGGAAAACCATTTCTCTAGCCTTCTGTTTTTAAAGCTATTACCAGATCAAGTGGAGTGATTAATGAATTCTGAGTTTTCAAGCCCAGGCAAATGAAAGGGCAAAGTGAGAGCTCACAGATGCAGAGAGGCTTCCATGTATAAACCAGAAACCACCTAGTGGCACAGAGGAGGTGAGAGAAACTTTTTGTTTTTTTTTTTTGTTGTTCAAAGCAACCAGTGACTCCTGGTAGCCTTCAAGATCTGGTACAAAAGAGAAGAAACACCAACGAAAAATATTCAGGAAGACAGTAATGCAGTTTCAGCCTTTTTTTTCTGTTGTTATGTTTTAAGTTTTTCTTTCTTTTCTTTTTAGTTGAAGTACAATTACTACACATAACTGCTAAAAGTTAGGGAAAAATCTTTTGAGGGATAATTGACCATAGTTCTTTCTTGATAACCTTTAAAAGCTTGCAGATTGGTAATACTAAAGGCTTTCAAATGAAAGCCAGGAACAAGCTAAATACATCCACTGTGTGACTGCAGAAACACTCCACAAGTGATGGGAAATCAATTACTCTGTGCAGGAATACCTCGGCGATATTTCAGGTTCGGTTCTAGAACACTGCAATAAAGTGAATACTGCAATAAAGCAAATCAGACAATTTTTTTTTGTTTTCCCAGTGCATATACATTTATGTTTACAGTGTATGGTAGTCTATGAAGTGTCCAAGAGCACTATATCTAAAAAAATACATACCTTAATTTAAAAATACCTTATTGCTAAAAAAAATCCTGAAACAGAGACACAGAATGAGCATGCGCTATTGGAAAAATGGTGCTGATAGACTTGCTCATCATAGGGTTGCCACGTACCTTCAATTTGTAAAAAAATGCAGTATCTGTGAAGTGCAATAAAGTGCAGTAAAACAAGGTATGCCTGTACTCACAGAGAAGGATATTCTAATTAACTGCAAGCCCACCTGAGGATATGAAAACCCCAGAGCATAAAATATTGCATAGGTTTTAGCATGTCACAACTTGCCCATTCCAATGTCTTCCTTTGCCTAACATTCAGAAGTAAGAAAGGTGATTTTTTTCCACTCTTGTATTCTTGGGTGGTGAAGGAGGCAGCGTGGTGCAGCAGAGGGGGATGTGAGGCAGGGTCTTGCCTCCAGTCTGCTGAATGAGCTGGGATAAGACACTTATATTTTCTCGGTCCAGGTTTTCTCATCAGTCAGACTAACCAAAAAATTTTTCTTCTGGTTTAAATTTCTTATTCTGAGGTTGGTCTTATCAGCTGTGAATTCTGAGAAAGCCACAACCTTTCTTATCCTCTGCCTCCACCAGTGCAAAAAAGGACAGGGTATAAACCAAAAATACAATCCTGTGTCACCCAGCTGCCTGAACAGACCCCTTCCTGGCCAAGGGAACACCAGAAAAACCTGAAAATGGAATTCCTAGCCATGATGGGAAGGGAGGTCAGATATGCCTTGTCATACCCCCTCGTTTTTGGAGTTTAGGCATGAGTGACCAGCATTAAAGTTAACATAAAGATCCTAATGTCACCGGAAAGGGCTCCCAATCCTGTCCCCGAGAGATGGTTCTTGGATCTTGCACAAGAAAGAATTTAAGGTGAATCCATATGGTAAAGTGAAAGCAAGTTCATTAGGAAAGTAAAGGAATAAAAGAATGGCTACTCCATAGACAGAGCCGCCCTGAGGGCTGCTGGTTGCTCATTTTTGTGGTTATTTGTTGATTACATGCTAAACAAGGGGTGGATTATTCATGCCTCCCCTTTTAGACCATATAGGGTAATTTCCTGATGTTGCCATGGCATTTGTAAACTGTCATGGCGCTGGTGGGAGTGTAGCAGTAGGGACGACTAGAAGTCACTCTCATCACCATCTTGGTTTTGATGGGCTTTGGCCAGCTTCTTTCCTGCAACCTATTTTATTAGCAAGGTCTTTATGACCTGTATCTTGTGCTGACCTCCTATCTCATCCTGGGACTTAGAACACCTTAACCATCTGGGAATGTAGCTCAATAGGTCTCAGTCTCATTTTACCCAGCTCCTATTCAAGATGGAGTTGCTCTGGTTTAAACGCCTCTGACAATAAGACTCACAAAACAGAATCTGTGTGGCAAATGGATACCAAATTAAAAACAAGGCCTAAGGCCATGCAAAGCCAAAGTCAAGTCATACCCTACTAACCGTAAAATCTTGTTAAATGGCTTTTTATTATCGTGATATAATATGGCTTACTTTCCAACCTGACTCTGGTATAACATCACATGACAGATAGCGAACTCTGAAGGAAATAAAAATATTTTACCCCAAAATGTATTTCTTTGATATATTTTGAAATGACCCTGCAAAGTTCTCTTTTATGGGGGAAATCTGCATCTGTACAGAAGGGCCATTAATGCAGCCAGGCCTTCCCTTTCTAGGTCATTCCATGATCTAGGATCTAGGAGAGATTAGCTTAGAACCCGACACATTTAAAGGCTTGAAAAGAGATATTTATAGTCTATTCTCTCTAACGACTACCACCTAAGAGTCTTCCTCCACATAACAAGGGCCTTGCCCCCCACAACCACCTTATCTTAACCCAATTATTCCTTTCTACTAACTTCAAGTCTTTAGACAATAGCCTAACTTTCTCAACAGGCTGTCAACTCAAGAATCCCTAAAATCCACCTGTAAGATACAATGAATCAGTTTCTCTTCAAAGGTTTAGCCTGTTAACTTCCTTGTCCTTTGTTCTCGAACTCAACTTTCTTGTTCTACATGCCTCCTTGCCCCTAGTTACTGTAAACAGCCTACCTGCTTCCCATCAGCTCTAATCAATAACTCACATCTGTTGCCTTGATTACCTGCACCCATTGTTCCCCCGAAACTTCACCACTGTACCTCATGTCCCCCTTCCCTTCCATATTTAGAAAAATATTTGCAAGTAGTCAATCGGCTCAGCTCAAATTGTGCAGTCCGACCCCAGTCCATGAGGGAATGACACAGAGGTAAGGACTACACGTTAGAGATAAACACACCCTGCTCTCCTTTGTTCAGTGTGCTCTTGCGATCTTGATTGACATGAGTGGCACCTTTCTGCAGAAAAAAACTACCTTGCTGAGAAAACTTTTGCCTGAGTGCTGGTTTCACTTTGCGGCACCAAGCATTTATCCCTAGAACATTTTTATATTCAACACACCTATGACTTTTAAGACCCCTGGTTTGAGATGTTCTGCCATTTCAGGCTGAACCAATGTATCCCTTCTATGTACTGGTTTATGTCATTGCCTGCAACTCCCGTCTCCCAAAATGTATAGAACCAAACTGTAACCCCACCTCTTCGGGACCACTTACTCAAGGATTCTTGGGTTTGTGTTTTCCCTGGGCTGCAGTCATGCATTGGCTTAGAATAAACCTCTTTAAAATATTTTTACAGAGTTTGATTTTTCCACTAATGAGGGGAACTGGACACCATGATTCTAAACTCTTTCTAGTTCTATATTTCAGTGATTTCTTGTCCCTTCACTAAAGAGATAACAGAATGAAAAGGACTCATATTTGAACGAACAATGCCACATAAATCAGAAGGAGGCTGTGGGAAAAAGAAGGATAACATGTGCTACCTGAGATCATCGACACTGGAAAACTAAGCTTGAAGTGTATTCAAAAGGGAATTCTTCATCAGCAAAACAAATCAAGGCACAATATCACTGCTTTCTCTAAATCCTTTTGTCAGACGTTATTTACAAAACAGAGAAAGGCAAATAGAACAAGGATAACTTTCACCCAGTGTAAACAAGTGTAGAGAAATCTGGGTAATGGAAAGCTGATACTCACAATGTCATTTCATGGGTAAGTGTTTAATACCCAGCTCTCCAGTGCAGATTTCCTAGATATGTACCTGCAACCAACTAAGCATAACACTAGATGTCAGTAGATATAGTTGAAAAAAACGAAGCCTCATCCAGCAGTTTGAAAATCAGAGGAAATAATCTGCATTTACAGAACAGCTTATTCCAACAATCTTGTTGGACCAATTATTCTGTTTCCCAGCAGCCATCCATCTTTTTTAACTCAAGTGTTATATGACGTTGGAAATCATGGTTTTTACAGATGTTTGAGTTATGCCTTATGAAGTTATCTTGATGGTTTCCAGATGATAATAAGTTTATAAAGCATTTTAGTACTGGGTTGATGGGTCCTGAAGACGTCACATTTTCTTGTGAATGTTGTCTTGCTTATCTTTCTCCTTTGAATACTTGTATTTATCCATTTACAAGTACATAAGTATTTCTGTAAACATATGTAAACAACACAGTGGTTCTGGCTGCTTGATATAGTGGGGAGAGCACCAGACTAAGAGTATTCAATGTTATTCACATCATATTACTCCTTCATTTGGGTTCTTACTTTTTAGAAACGTTAAATTAGGGAGTGAGATCATAGTACCCTTAACTAAAGTCTCTTTTAACTCTTATTTCCTAATTTTGTATTTCTTCTAAGAACAATTTTAAACCACCTTAGACAAAGAAGACAACAGCCCAGTGCTACAGACATCAGAAATATTTTATCTTAGTTATCTAATTATCTTTTCTTCTGATAGCCTCTTGGAGAGGGAGAGAAGTTAAAACTAAACTGCCAGGGGAGAGGATCAGATCCTTATTAGTAGTTCTAATTTTGTTATCAGAAAGGGGTGTCGATCCAGACCCCCAAAGAGGGTTCTTAGATCTTGTGCAAGAAACACTTCGGGCGAGTCCACAGAGTAAAGTGAAAGCAAGTTTATTAAGAAAGTCAAGGAATGGAAGAATGGCTACTCCATAGGCAGGGCAGCAGCTTAGGCTGCTGGACTAAGGACACTTTGAGTTATTTATTGATTATATGCTAAAGAGGGGGTAGATTATTCATGAGTTTTCTGGGAAAGGAATGGGAAATTCCCAGAACTGAGGGTTCCTCTTTTTTTTTTTTTTTTTTTGAGACGGAGTCTCACTCTATCGCCCAGGCTGGAGTGCAGTGGTGCAATCTCGGTTCACTGCAAGCTCCGCCTCCCGGGTTCATGCCATTCTCCTGCCTCAGCCTCCCGAGTAGCTGGGACTGCAGGCGCCCGCCACCGTGACCGGCTAATTTTTTGTATTTTCAGTAGAGATGGGGTTTCACCGTGTTAGCCAGGATGGTCTCGATCTCCTGACCTCGGGATCCGCCTGCCTCCGCCTCCCAAAGTGCTGGGATTACAGGCATGAGCCACTGCGCCGCCTGGTTCCTCCCCTTTTTAGACCATATAGGATAACTTCCTGGTTTTGCCATGGCATCTATAAAGTGTCCTGGCACTGATGGGAGTGTCTTCTAGCATTTACAGAACAGCTTATTCCTACAAACTTGTTCGACCAATTATTCTGTTTCCCAGCAGCCATCCATCTTTTTTAACTCAAGTGTTATATGACCTTGGAAATCATGGTTTTTACAGATGTTTGAATTATGCCGTATGAAGTCATCTTGATGGTTTCCAGATGATAATAACTTTATAAAGTATTTTAGTACTGGCATGCTAATGCATTATAATTAGCATAAAATGAGCAGTGAGGACCACCAGAGGTCACTTTCTTTGCCATCTTGGTTTTGGTGGGTTTTGGCTGGCTTCTTTACCACAGCCTGTTTTATCAGCAAGGTCTTTATGACCTGTATCTTGTACCGACCTCCTATCTCATCCTGTGACTTAGAATGCCTTAACCATCTGGGAATGCAGCCCTGTAGGTCTCAGCCTTATTTTACGCAGATCCTATTCAACATGGAGTTGCTCTGTTTCAAATGCCTCTGACAATTTTATGACTATGACCCTTGCTTACTTGTTACCAGAACCAAACTCAACAATTAGATGAGATACCCTCACGTAACACTAGGGGGAATATGCTTATGTGGTGTCTGTGGCCACGCTGTAAGTGCCACTTACCCAGGAGTCATTTGGAGAATCAGATAACGATGAGGAACCACATGTAAAGGTTCTTCAATACTGTAACCAGCAGCTTAGCAGCTAAGCCTCAAACTGCATTTTAAACTATTTTTTCTTCTTTCCTTTTTCCTCTTCCTCCTCCCGGTCTCAAGATATAACTTTGAGACAAACTGCATGTATGTTACCGCTCATCTTAAAGTACAGCCTCAGAATGGGCTGTGAACCTCTACTCCCTTTCCTTTCTCATGCTATACTCCCTTGCCTTATGCACATTTATTCACCTACGTGCTTGCTAAGCACATACCATGCCCTCTCTCTCTCTCTCTCTTTTTTTTTTTTTTTGAGATGGAGTCTCGCTCTGTTGTCCAGGCACAATCTCAGCTCACTGCAACCTCCGCCACCCAGGTTCAAGCGATTTTTCTGCCTCAGTCTCCTGACTAGCTGGGATTACAGGTGCACAACACCACACCCAGATAAATTTTTATACTTTTAGTAGAGATGGGGTTTCACCATGTTAACCATGCTGGTCTCAAACTCCTGATCTTAAGTGATCCGTCTGCCTTGGCCTCCAAAAGTGTTGGGATTACAGGCGTGAGCCACCACGCCCGGCCCGGCCCATGTTCTCTTACCTGCTCATATATTTCCTTAGAAGCTCAGCAGTCAGATTCGGATAGGGATCAGTCGCCTCTGGAATTCTTTCTTCAACAAAAGATTACTTTGAGGATGGAACCCACACCTGGCTGAAGAGTGACTAATTTATAACCTGGCAGAATCCATGATGGTGCCAGCCCCTTCATCAATTGCGACAATAATTTAAGAGGACCACAGAGCAAGTCATGCCACCTGGCACCCTCTGCCCACTTTCCTTCTTCTGCATTTCAAACCCTGTCTTTAAAAACTCATGTTCCCTCCACAAATTGGAGAGTGGAACTTTTTTCTGCTCTTCCCCTGCTAGCATGAATAATAAAATCTTTCTTGCTCTTACTACAACTCATTGTTATTTCTGACTTCTCTCTGCAAACAGTAGACAGCTGGACCCTTTTTCCGGTTACTTACAATACAACCTCTACAAAAAAAGAGCAACAGTTTAAAGTAATAGTCCTTTTTCTCATCAGGGGACAAACAAAACACTTGAGAGTAACAAATGCTTTTTCTGGTAACAGTACCTAACGGTGGGTTGTTTGAATTTTTGGCAAGAAAAAAGAGAAGAACACTGAGATAAACAGCACTCGAATTCTTTTGTTTAGCCATCAAGAAGTAATTACCTTTCAGTTTTCCCGATACCGGCTAGAAAAATTTATCATAGTGTTTAAACTATCCACAGAAACAGACCCAAGGGGAACCTAGACCCTAGAAATGGATATGGATGGATAGGTCCAAAAGGCATAAAGAAAGCCTCCATGCTCACTCGCTGCATGGACAGAATTTCCAGCCTTGGATTGACATTATTCTATCATCATCAGATTGCTCTCTTATTCAAAACGTAAATACCACCCTAGATGGGGTCACAGGGAAGCTGATATCTATTGGTCCCTTAAGGTGCATTTTTTTGCGTGATGTCCCTCCCTTCCTCCCTTCCTCCCTCCCTCCCTTCCTTCCTTCTTTCTCTCTTTCTCTTTCTCTTTCTCTCTCTCTCTCTTTGTTTTTTTTGTTGTTGAGACGGAGTTTCACTCTTGTTGCCCAGGCTGGAGTGCAATGGTGTGATCTCAGCTCACTGCAACCTCCACCTCCCGGTTTCAAGCAATTCTCTTGCCTCAGCCTCCCGAGTAGCTGGGACTACAGGTGCACGCCACCACACCAGGCTAACTTTTTGAATTTTTAGTAGAGATGGGGTTTCTCTACGTAGGTCAGGCTGGTCTCAAACTCCCTACCTCAGGTGATCCGCCTGCCTCGGCCTCCCCAATGCTGGAATTACAGGCGTGAGCCAGCGTGCCCAGCCTGGGGCGTCATTTTCTCTGTGGCATCTAGCAGATTGACGACCTTGAGAAATGGAAACTGTGAGAGACAAAGGAGTGTATGGGAGAAATTGTGGGCTGTAGCCTCATAGACAGAAATCTCTTCTGCAATATTCCTAGCTACTTCAGACTCTCTGGTTTGCAGACCCTCCAACATCCCTAACAACTTTACATAGTGATCACATGTACTGCTTAAGACATGTTTGGAAGAACTAAGCGTCAATTACCTGTCTGAACGGCTAGGATGCCAGGCTGCTGTGTGCAGACATCAGGTCCCTGAAAGAGGAAGATGAGCGGAGAGGTGGATTTTACCCTGGGCTTATTTTCTCTGCACCTGCCAGACTTCTTAGTTGCAACCACCTATATTAACTCTGCTTATTTAAACAGATAAGTAATTTATTATAAGGAGATCCAAAAATTTTAAAATTGATAGGGAGGTTTGGCAACAAGGCAACCATACAAAGAGACAAAATTTACTAAAAGTCATACCACAGAAAGAGCTTGATAGGGTCACTGGACACTCAGAACTGCTGCTGCTGGGCTGTGCCCCTCCCCACACTTTCAGCCACATTGTAGAACCCTAGATCCATCACAGTCACCACAAGAAGACACCCCTATTCTTTGTGTTACTCTTCAAGACTCAAAGTCCATAATGTAGCATCAGATTGGCTGAGTCTAGGTCTCATGTCCACCTTCCTAGCTGCCACATGATCGTCAAGACAGAACAGCTGCCCAGACTTCAGCTTCCAGTGTAGAATGTTGGACGTGCTTCTCCATCTTGAAATTCATTCCAGATAGGAATGATTGGATGCTGAGAAGTCCAAAGCAATTGTCCAGTGTTTTAGCTACAATGGAACCAAGAGACTGTAGATGAAATATGCATAAGATAGGTCGTTCTTTGGTTCTGTCTTATTTCATGACATCAGACACGAAACATAGTTCTGTATTATTTCTTTCCACTACAGATGAAGAACAGGAATTAAAAAAAATTCTCTAAAAACAAAGACCTTGAATTACCTGGGGAAGAGATGTTGGAATTTAATAGGCTTTTACATTTATCCTTACTTGTCTCCTAAAGTTTAGGATCAATATTCTAACAGCCTCATCCAAGGTTTCTTTATTCTTTTCACTTTGAAGAAACCAATTTTAACTAAGCCCACAGACTGTGAAGAGGAAAGGTGAGAAGCCAGAGGCAGCTTGTCATTCTGGGCTTAAATAAGGAAGAAACTTGAACCCAGTCACCTTGAATCTGAATGATGAACAAACTGACTAATTTTCTGGGTTGATTGAAACTCAAAGCTGAATACTCCCACTATCTAACCTGGAATTTTGCCTTCATATAGGCATACTGGGAATTCTGACAGGAGTGAGTGACAGCCCTAATCCCTGTCTCTCTGTATGTCAGTGACCTTTTGGAGGGGGCAAACTCAAATATGCTTGAGTTTGCAACCCTGTACAGCTTGAAGAGAGCTAAGGGAAATGTGGGAATTAAGGACATAAAAAGGAAAAAATGATTTCACCTAAACAGACATGTTCTCTAACTATGGTGGAGTAATACATTTTGAAATATATCCCATTTTTTCCCCTTTTGAGTCCCTTAGAGATTCTCCACCCCCTCAATTCCCAGCAATCCTTAAACCATTGAAACTAGAGTAAGAGACTGAGGCTTTTACCCCTGGAAAATGGCAAAAAATTTTTTCTAAGAAGCGGGAAAATGTAATGATAAAATAGAATCACCTAAATATATTTGGTTGAGAGGAGGTTTTAGAACAACAAAATTGGTGCTCCATTTCTCCAGAGTGTGTCATTATGAACCAACATGGTACTAGATGAGCCACAGGTGGCTGATGGAGGTCCCCATTTGTGTGGACATTAGGGTGGCATCTTAAGGCTCAAGTGGAGTCAAATAAACAGTTGAGAGTTAAACTAATTGTGAGATGGAACTGGAAGTGCTGAAAAATGTAGTCAACTGGGAGATATACCTGGGGTCAAAATGTCAAGGCTGCAAGGTGCAGGAACCTCAGAACTGGAGGTAACCGCAAAGTACATGATCATCATCAGCAGACGCCAGCATTATGCCTAAAACACCAGGAAGGACCACCTATATTTTAAGAGATTATAGCACAGGATTCCAAAGACCAGTGGATGCTGAAATAAAGAGACTGTGCTCAAAGATCAAACGATGTCAGACATTAGAACGGAAGTCAACAGCAGTATATATACAGACCACACACCCTTCCTGATCACCTAGGATGTTAAATGTAAGTTTGCCACTGCTTCCAAATGCCATCTTATGGAGAAAGAGGCAAAGGGAAAGAGAAGAATAGCCCAAATAAGGAGTTAATACTTCAAATGGATAGTTTGAGTCATTCTGTTGTGAAGCTGGCTAAATATTGACACAAATGATACCAATTTTAAGGCGAAGATGAATATAATAACTTGAAGAAGAAAAATCATTGCCACTGGTAATAAGAGTTGCAGGAAAAATTGAGTTCAGAAATAGGCAACTTTTTAGAAAGGTATTTCTCTGTGTCTCAGTTGAAGTATGTACATTTTACCAACTACAAAGGAAGCAGTTTGGAATAGTTGGCAACCAGAAAACATATGGGACTTTCTGTAATTTGCATGGCTTTCTGTTGGCACTACTTGGAGGCACCAAGAACAATTTCTCCTTCCCCACCTGAATCCCTCAGAATTCTGGCCTCTGGTCTTTGCTTTGGGTCTTTCTCCCATAGAGACCTTATTAATGGCACAAGACACAAAAAACTAGCCACTTAAAGTGCACAACTTGTTTTGCTATAGATCAAAGGGCCATGGAATTAACGAGAACTATAAGGCTGCAAGGCCCCTGAGGGATCAACGAGTTTATCTTTGTCATCCTACACAGAAGGCTGAGACTCAAAGAGGCAACACCACTTGGCCCAGATCCCACAGATAGATATTGACAACATTTGACATAAAACGTACCATCTCTAATAGTGGAAAAACTTGTAAATGGTTTTACCAAAATGTGGTTGCTTCTATAGTAAAAATGTATACAAAGACTCTGGGAGTAAGAAGAGAAAGCAACTTCATTACGAGAGTCATAGAAACAACATACAAACTGGATCTTAAGTGAGAAGACTTATACGACTTGCAAAAGAGGAAACGGAGAAAAGGAATTTTTAGCAGAAAAAAGATGCACAAAGGTGTGCGGTGGACATGTGAGCATGACATAGGGACGTATGAGGAGTGAGAGAATTTGAGGTGGGAAAGGGATCTAATGACCGCTAATCTCATGTTTCCTTCTCCATTCCAGGCTCTGCTATAGACCTTTATTTCTTCCTATACTGTCCAGGAAGATGGTTCTCTTATGTCCCTTGTCCAATGTACATGTTTCCAGACTGAGTTCTAATCTACTCAGGCTGTCTGTGACTAGGGATATCTGTATCCCTTCTTGTAGCACACATTTCAGCTTTGTGAGAATACCAGAATCCAGTGTAGAAGTTGCAGCATCCTAAAAGAGCACAGAACCAAAAAATGGCCACATTGAAACAGGTAGGAAGAGCAGTTTCACTTTGCTCACATTTCTCCCTCCTTCAAGTTGGCATAGCTCACCACTGAGGGAGATCCACTTGGCCCACAATTTCTTCCAAGAAGAAAGGAAAGCGAGAGTGCATCCAACATCCCCACCTTGTAGGGCACAGGGCCAAGAGAAATGCTCCTGTCTTGACTCATTCAGAGAACTGAAGGATCCAGCATAGTTGGAATACCTATGCATAGCTAATAACAGATTTGGGATAGGTAGCTCTCAGCATTTGGCATGGCCTCCAACAGCCAGTGAGGGCCCCAGCAGCCACATGGCCTCCAACAGCCCCCACACACCTAAGAGCAGCCTTCATGGATCCAGCATACAACTCCCAGTCCATGGTGGGTCTCCCTGCAACTGATGAGACTTTCAGAAGCCTGCAAGTCCAGACAGCCATGCAGCACTGGATATCCAGCATGGGTTGCAGCTGCCAGCACTTATTGCACTAATTGCAGTTGTTGGTGCTGACCACAGCTGCCAGGGCAGATTGCAGCTGCCAGTCCAGTCCCTAGTGGCTGGCACAACCCCCAGCACTAAGCATGGGCCCTAGCAGTGGCAAGGATCTCAGTGGATGTCACAGTTCTTAGTAGATAGTATGCATTTCTGCAGATGTCACAGATCCGCAGACAACACGTATCTCAGCAGCCAGCTTAGTTCTGCAGGACTGGGAGAAGTCACACAATCCTGAGACTACTTCTGCAGGAGGGATAGAGAGAAGTGGAGCTTACACCCAACATCCTGGCATCTCAGTGCACTGCCCTAGGAAAAAGGAGAGGATGACTTTCAGTACCTGGCATGCAACTGGGGAAATGCACACAATCCTGAATTTTCTTTTCAGGAGAGAGGAAGGGAAGTTGAGCTTGTACCTAATGCTTTAGCATATCAATGCACTGTACTAGAGAAAAGGATAAGGCAGCATTTAGCATCCAGCACAACTCTGCAGGTTTGGAAGAAGAAGCACAATCCTGAGACTTCTCCCCAAGGCAAAAGAGATAGTAGCAGAATGTGTACATTTATAAAATAGTTTCGAGAGATATACAAAATCTCTAGACAGGCTGATTGTTAAAGGTTTTCTGCTGCTAAATCCAATCTGTAAAGACTAGAAAAAGTGGCTGCTTATTTAAATGCACAGACACCAATGCAAAGTTACAAGGAACACGAAGAATCAGAAAAATATGACACAAGCAAAGGAACAAAATAAATCTTCTGTACCCAATCTTAAAGACATAAAGATCTATAAATAGCATGATAAACAATTTAAAATAATCATCTTAAGAAGCTCAGTGAGCTACAAAAGGACATAAACAACTAAACAAAATCAGAGAAAAATGATACATGAACAATATGAGAAAATGAACAAAGAGATAAAAAATGTAAATAATGGCCGGGCGCGGTGGCTCAAGCCTCTAATCCCAGAACTTTGGGAGGCTGAGGTGGGCAGATCACGAGGTCAGGAGATCGAGACCATCCTGGCTAACATGGTGAAACCCCATCTCTACTAAAAATACAAAAAATTAGCCGGGCATGGTGGCAGTCGCCTGTAGTCCCAGCTACTCAGGAGGCTGAGGCAGGAGAATGACGTGAATCTGAGAGGTGGAGCTTGCAGTGAGCCAGGATTGCGCCACTGCACTCCAGTCTGGGAGACAGTAAGACTCTGTCTCAAAAAAAAAAAAAAAAAAAAAAAAAAAGTGAATAATAACCAAACAGAAACTCTGGAGCTGAAGAATATAATAACTAAACTGAAAATTCAATAAAGAGCTTCAACAGCAGAATTCATCAAGAGTAAGAAAAAAAATCAATGAACTTGAAGATGGGTCATTTGAAATGATCTAATCAGAAGAAAAAAAAAATAAAAAAAAGTGATGAAAGCCTAAGAGACTTATGAAACACTGTCAAGCAAACCAGTATACATATTATGGGAGCCTAAGAAGTAGAAAAAAGAGAGAGAGGCAGCCAGCTGTGGTGGCTCACACCTGTAATCCCAGCACTTTGGGAGGCTGAGGTGGGTGGATCACGAGGTCAAGAGATTGAGACCATCCTGGCCAACATGGTGAAACCCCGTATCTACTAAAAATACAAAAATTAGCTGGGTGTGGTGGCATGTGCCTGTAGTCCCAGCTACTCAGGAGGGTCAGGCAGGAGAATCACTTGAACCCTGGAAGTGGAGGTTGCAGTGAGCTGAGATCATGCCACTGTACTCCAGCTGGCAACCGAGACTCCATCTCAAAAAAAAAAAAAAAAAAAAAAAGAAAGAGAGAGAGAGAGGCGCAAAGCTTATTTTAGAAAATAATGACAAGAAAATCCCATACTTTGGGATGGAAATGGATATCCAGACTCATGAAACTCAAAAGACACCAAATGGAATCCAGACAGACACCAAACAGAACCCAAAGAAGTCTGCTTCAAGGCACGTTATAATTGAATTGTCACAAAAATACAGTTAGATAGAAGAAATAAGTTCTAGTGTTTGATAGCACAGTAGGGTGACTATACTTAAGAATAATTTATTGTATATTTCAAAATAGCTAGGAGAGAAGATTTGGAATGTTTCAAACACAAAGAAATGATAAATATTTGAAGTGATGGATGTGCTGATGACCCTTATGTGATCATTAAACATTGTATACATGTATGAAAATATCAGATGCACCCTATAAATATCTATAATTATTAGGCATCAATAAAATTAACTAAATTAATCTTTAAAAGTCAAAGACAGAGAGAACATTTTGAAAGCAGTAAGAGAAAGTACACTTTAAATGAAATGACCCATCACATAAAAAGGACCTGTAGTTGCACTGTGCTGAGATCATGCCACTGCACTCTAGCCTGAGTGACAGAGCAAGACTCCATCTCAAAAAATAAAAATAAAAAAGGGGACTCTAATAAGACTGTCAGTGGATATCTCAGCAGAAACCTTGCAGGCCAGAAGCGCGAATGATGATATATTCAGAGGGCTAAGAGGGGGAAAAAAAATGGCAACCAAGAATTCTATACCCAGCAAACTGTCTTTTCAAAATGAAGGAGAAAATAAAGATGTTCCTAGATAATGCTGGTCATGGTGGTTCATGCTTGTAATCCCAGCACTTTGGGAGGCTGAGGATGGTGGAACACTTGAGCTCAAGAGTTCGAGTCCAGCCTCAGCAACATGGTGAAACCTCATCCCTTCAAAAAATACAAAAATAAACCAGGCATTGTGGTGTGCACCTGTAGTCCCAGCTACTTGGGAGGCTTAAGTGGATAGCTTGAGCCTAGTAGGTTGAGGCTGCAGTGAGCCGAGATCACACCACTGCACTCTGACCTGGGTAACAGAGGAAACCTAGTCTCAAAATAAAAATAAAATAAAATAAAATAAAATAAAATAAAATAAAATGTTCCCAGATAAATAAAACCTGAGGGAATTCATCACCATCACATCTGTCTCAAAAGAAATGCTAAGGAGAGATTCTCATGTTGAAACAAAAGAATGCTAAATGACAACATAAAAGTATCTAACGGTTGAGACGAAAGGATGCTAAATGATAACATAAAAGTATATGAAAGTATAAACTCACTTTATAAAGGTAAATGTAAAGACAAATAGCTGATACTGTATTACTGTACTGTTTAAATCATTCTTTTTTTTTTTGAGACAGTGTCTCACTCCATCACCGAAGCTGCAGTGCAGTGGTGTGACCACAGTTCATTGCCACCTTGACCTCCTGGGCTTGGGCGATCCTCCCATCTCAGCCTCCCAAGTAGCTGGGACTACAGGTGTGTGCCACTGTGCCTAGATAATTTTTGTATTTTTTGTAGAGACAAAACTTTGCCATGTTGTCCAGGCTGGTCTCAAACTCCTGAGCTCAAATGATCCACTGGCCTCAGCCTCCCCAAGTGCTGGGATTACAGATGTGAGCCGTAGTGCCTGGCCAAAATCATTCTTAATTTTAGTGTGAACTATGGAAAATAGTATGAAGCTTCCTAAAATATATATATATATATATAATTACTATATGATCCAGCAATCCTACTCCAGGGTATATATCCCCAAAAATGAAATCAGGATCTCAAACAGATGTATGCACTCCTATGTTTATTGCAGCATTATATATAGTAGCCATAGTGATAGTCAATACTGAGTGTCAACTTGATTGGATTAAAGGATATAAAGTATTAATCCTAGGTGTGTCTGTAAGACTGTTGCCAAAGGAGATTAACATTTGAGTCAGTGGCCTGGGAAAGGCTGACCCACCCTTAATCTGGGTGGGTACCATCTAATCGGCTGCCAGCACATAAAGCAGGCAGAAAAACAAGAAAAGTCTAGACTGGCTTAGACTCCCAGCCTACATCTTTCTCCTGTGCTGGATGCTTCCTGCCCTCAAACATTGAACTCCAAATTCATTAGCTTTGGGACCTGGACTGGCTTCCTTGCTCCTTAGCTTGCAGACAGCCTGTTGTGGGACCTTGTGATCATGTGAGTTCATACTACTTAATAAACCCCTCTTTATTTATATATTATATAATATATATATATCTCCTATTAGTTCGGTCCCTCTAGAGAACCCTAATACAGCCATAATATGGAAGCAACCTAAATGTCCATCAACAGAGGAATGGATAAGAGATTATGGTATATACATACAATGGAGTGGTATTTAGCCTGAAATAAGGATAGTCCATTATTTGCAAAAACATGGATAGACATAAGTGAAATAAGTCAGTATAGAAGGACAACACTGCACAATTTTACTTATATGAGGTATCTGAAATAGTCAAACTTACAGAAGCAGAAAATAAATTGTACCAGGAAAACTAGATATCCACATGCAGAAGAATAAAACTAGACCTGCATCTCTCACCCTATATAAAAATTAACTCAAAATTGAGTAAAGACTTAAATGTAACTCCATAAGCTGTAAAACTATAAGGCAAAAACATAGGAAAAACATCAGGACATTGATCTAGCTAAAGATTTTATAACTAAGACTTCAAAAGCACTGTCAAGAAAATAAAAGAAGGACTATGTCAAACTAAAAAGCTTCTCCACAGCAAAGGAAGCAATCAGCAGAGTGAAGAGACAATCTGTAGAATGGGAGAAAATAGTTGCAAACTAATCATGTAACCAGGGGCAAATACGCAAAATATACGAGGAACTCAAACAACTTGATAGCAACACCCACATAATTTGCTCAAAAAGCTGGCAAAGGATCTGAATAGACATTCCTCACAAAATACAAATAAAAATAAAAGGCATACAAACAGCCAAAAATATATGAAATAAATGTTCAACACCACAAGTCAGCAGGGAAATGCAAATCGAAACCACGAGATATCATCTCACCCCAGTTAAAATGTCTATTCTAAAAAAGACAAAAAATAACAGATGCTGGTGTAGATGTGGATAAGGTGGAACACTTGTACACTCTTGATGGGAATGTAAAGTAGTACAGACCTTATGCAATACAGACAGGAGATGTCTCAAAAATCTAGAAGTAGAACAACTATATGATCCAGCAATCCCACCACTGGAAATCTATTCAAAGGAAAGAAAATCAGAATAGCAGAGGACTGTCTTCACCCTGCCCCCACCCCAGCTCCACGTTTACTGAAGCACTATTCACAATAGCTAAGATAAGGAATCAACTTCAATATCCGACAACAGATGGATTAAAAATATGGTATACACTATATACCTAATGGAATACTATTCAACTATAAAAGGAATGAAATCCCGTCATTCACAGCAACACGGATGAGTCTGGAGCATGCTAAGTGAAATAAGTCAGGCACAGAAAGATAAATACCACTTTATCTCACATGTGAGAGCTAAAAATTTAAAGTCCTGAAAGTACAGAGTAGAACTGTGGTTATTAGAGACCAGGAACTGTCGGGGGAGGGAAGGCTGGGGAGAGGTTTGTTAAGGGATACAAAATTATATCTAGATAGGAGGAAGGAGTTATGTTGCTACGTAGTATTATAGGGTAAATATGGTTAACTATAATTAATTATATGTTATAAAAAAGCTAGAAGAGAGGATTCTGAATGTTCAAAACACAAAGAGATGATACTTCTTTGAGGTGATGGATATGCTAATTTTCCTGATTTGATCGTTACATATTGCATACGCATATCCAAATAACGCTCTGTATCTCATAAATAGGTACAATTATTACATGCCAACTAAAAATAAAAGGATAAAAATCTCAGGCTCTGATGGTGGCACTAATGAATTCTACTAAATATGTAAAGAAGAACTAATACCAGTCCTTCTCAAACTCTTCCAAATATCGAATACAAGGAAATACTTTCACATTCCTTTTGTGACGTCTGCATTACCCTGATATAAAAGCCAGACAAGGAAATAAAATTACAGGCATATGACCCTGATGAACATACATGCAAAATTCCACAATCAATTAGTACGAACCTCAAATCAATAGCACATTAAAAGAATCATTTGTTATCATCAAATGTGATTTGTTTCTGGGATACGGGATGGTTCAACATAGGCGAATCAATAAATGTGATATACCACATTAACATAATAGAGCAAAAACATATCATCATCTTAAATGATGCAAAAATAGCATTTGACAAAAATCAACATCCCTTCATGTTAAAAACTCTCAAGTTAGGTATAGAAGAACTGTATCTCAACATAATAAACGCCACATATGACAAGCCCACAGCTAACATCATACTCAGCAATGAAAATGTGAAAGTTTTTCTTTTAAGATCAAGAATAAGACAAGGATACCAACTCTTGCCACTTCTATCCAACACAGTACTGGAAATTCTAGTCAGAGAAATTGGGGAAGAGAAAGAAACAAAATGGGAGCCAATTATAATCCTGGAAGACACAATTCAGAACACCAAAACCCCAAATGTTGAAACTGTGAAAGATCAAATTTCTAAAGTCTAAAATTCCATAAATCACAACCCTGAAAGACCAAAATCCCAAAAATATGATTCTGGAAAAAATAACACAAATTATTTAAGAGATACTTATTTAATTTTTAATAGGGGTTTTATTTAAGAAATATATACAACATGACAGAACATTTTCTAGGCTACTTTGTACAATAAAATAGGCAATAATAACATAGACGTTTTTGCAAGCATAAAGACTCAGATATACTAATGACATTCCATGGATATAATGATAATGAGCAGATAGACCATATTCATAAAGAAATAAATCAAAGGTGATATGTATAAATGCATATCACTATGATTGGTAATAGTAGGTTGGTGCACCTAGCTTTATAAGAGCAGTCATCTGAAATAACGTGACAGACAACCTAAGTCTTTTGACGAAATTCGTAAAAAAAACCCACAATGGATCACCATACATCACCACTGCACCAGTTGCCCAAAGAGCCAAGATTTCGAAAAATTTTATCTTTCACAAAAGTAGCTGTACAAAAGGACATCTCTTCATTTACTGATGATTTCAACATTTTTATCCACATGCACAATGCTTACACACAGTCAATGTTGTATAAATGCACCCTCATGAAGTCATATTTGCAAGAAATGCATAAAATAAATCAACTTTCTGAAAGTCTTTACACAATTTATACTTCCCATACTGGAAGTGATGTGACGGTGAAATACAAAGCACGGTGAATTGTAAAAAATAATGATAACAATCTAAAATAATGGGAAAAAACTTAAAAAAGGAAAAGCAAAGCCAAAAGCAAAAAAAAAAAAAAAAAAAAGCTAAAAAGAAAAAGTATATTAAAGGCATAGATTATGGGCAATTGCCAGGAGGTGGAGGTTGCAGTGAGCTGAGATTGTGCCACTGCACTCCAGTCTGGGTGACAGAGTGAGACCCTGTACCCACCACACCAAAAATAAAAAAAAGATTATGGGCAATTGCATGAAGATTGTCCATAAGAGTTGGTCAACTTTCATAATCATTAACTATATTTGAAGTCTTGCAACACAATAAATGACTACCTTTTTTTCCTTTTTGGACATGCTTTTCCTCAGGAAAAACATTCACATTCATTTTCTATGTGGTCCCGCTCTTTTGAAATTCTTTAATATCCGCTGGCATCGGCATTCCCTATTAGATTGTCTCATCTTCTGTGCCATGCTTCTCTGTTGTTTTGGGCACACAGAAACCATCCTGCATGCCCTTTTATACAGACCACAAATTTGGTAGAAATAATACCGGTATTAAATACAACACCATTGTCTAAGTGTCTTTTTACCTGCCCTGCGCATAATTATTTTCAAACCAGTCAGTAACTTCACTGGCTTCTTCAGGCAAATGGGGCTAATTTATTAAAAGCTTTTGGCATGTCATCAGCTGAAAGGAATGCCAACTCAGGCAAATGATGCATTTTTAAACTGAAGTTTACATCGTTGCCATATTACATGGCCAATTCACTCATCTGAATTTTTCACCAAGTGTACTGTGCTGACTTGAAAAAACCAACTTTATTGATAACACATTGAAATTCACTTTTAGAAGTTTTGGTTGCACCTAATTCCAAATCTGTCATTATGGTTTGGGAATTTAACTGAAACCCGTTTTTTCTTCAAAAGGACAAAGGCAAATAATATTTCTGCCTTAACAGTCCTGTGGTTGTGATTTTCAGGACTTTAGATGTTACGAATTTTAGACTTTAGAGATTTTGATCTTTAAGGATTTCAACATTAGGGATTATAATGTTTGGATTCTGTCTATTGGGATTATGACCCATGTAAAAGACATCTAAATGAGGAAAGAAGAAGTTAAATTGTCTCTGTTCGCAGATGACAATGTCTTATATGGGCAAAACACTTTAGACTTCACTATAAAACTGTTAAAACTAACAAATAAATTCTGTAAAGTTTTAGAAAAATAAACAAACATACAAAAATCAGTAGTGTTTCTACACTAACAACAAAATCTCATTTATAATTGCCACAAAAATAAAATACTTAGAAATAAATTTAACCAAGTAGGTGAAAGATTTGTACATTGACATCTATAAAACATTGATAAAAACGAAGACAAATAAATGGAAAGAATTCTCATGTTTATGTGTTGGAAGAAAGGATATCGTAAAATATTCTATACTATTCAAAGCAATCTACAAATTCAATACAATCCCTGCCAAAATTCCAAAGAAATTTTTCACAAACATAGAAAAGATAATTCTAAAATTTCTTTAAAACCACAAAAATTTCTGGATTGACAAAGCAGTGTTGAATAGAAAGAACAAAGGTAGAGACATCACTCTACCCGATTTCAAAATCTACTATAAAGCTTTAGTAATCAAAACAATATCAGGTTGGGTGCGGTGGCTCATGCCTATAATCCCAGCACTTTCAGGGGCCAAGGTGGGCAGATTACCTGAGGTCAGCAGTTTCAGACCAGCCTGGTTAACATGGTGAAACCCCAAGTCTACTAAAAATACAAAAACTAGCTGGGCGTGGTGGCAGGTGCCTGTAGTCCCAGCTACTTGGGAGGCTAAGGCAGGAGGATCACTTGGACCCAGGAGGTGGAGGCTGCAGTGTGCTGAGACCGTACCACTGCATTCCAGCCTGGGCAACAGAACAATACAGCATCTCAAAAAACAAAACAAAAACCAAAATATCAAAAGGGGATAAAAATGGACACAGAGAGCAACGGAACATAGTAAAGAGCCCAGAAACAAATCCACACATTTACAGCCAAATTGACTTTGACAAAGATGCCAAGAATACAATGAGGGAAAGGCTACCTCTTTAATAAATGGTGTGGAGAAAAGTGGACATCCACATGTCAAAGAGTGAATTAGACCTTTGTCTCACACCATATACCAAAATCAACTCAAAATGAATCAGAGCCTTAAATATAAGACCTAAAACTGCACAACTTTTAGATGAAAATAGAGAGGAAATGCTCCATGGTGTTGATGTGGACAATGATTTGCATATATAACCTTGACTTAATGAAAATGAAAGCCCAATGTATCATCAAAATTTGTAGGATGCAGTGAAAGCAGTGCTTAGAGGGAAATTTATAGCATCAAATACCTGTATTAAAAAAGAAGAGATATATAAAATCAATCCCCTAAATTTCTACCTTAGGAAATTAGAAGAAGAGCAAATTAACCCAAAGGAAGCAGAAGAAAATAAATAACTGCTTGAGATTGAAAGCAGGAAATCGGTAAAGAAAAGCAATGAAACCAAAAGCTGGTTCTTTGCAAAGAAAAATAAAACTGATAAGGCTCTAGCCAACGTAACTGAGAAAAAAGAGGAAAGACACAAATGAGTAATACCGGCAATGAAGTAGCAGACATCACTACAAATCTCACGGACACGAAAATAATAATAAAAGAATACCATGAATAATATATGCCCACTAATTTGATAACCTAGATGAAATGTACCAATTCCTTGAAAGGTGCAATCTGCCAAAACTCATTCAAAGAGAAATAAACATTCTGAATAAACCTAAATATATATATTTTAAAAGAACTGAATCAGTAATAACTTTCCAAAGCTGAAGGCATCAGGCATAGACACATTCACTCTTAAATTCTATCAAACATTTAAGACAGAAATTATGCCAATTCTCTACAGTCTCTCTCAGAAGATAGAAGCAGAGGTAATACTTCCTAATTCATTCTATGTGCCCATTATTAACCTAATACCAAAATCAGACAAAGATATTAAAGGCAAAGAAAACTACAAACCAACATTTTCTATGAATATAGACGCAAACATCCTCAACAAAACTTTAGCAAATAGATTCCAACAATGTGAAAAGAATTATACACCATGACCAAGATGGATTTATCCCTGTTATGGAAGACTGGTTTAATATTAGAAAATCAATAATGTAATCCATCACATCAACAGGATAGAGAAGAAAAATCATTAGTTTATCAATAAATGCAGAAAAAGTACTTGTGAAAATCCAACACTCAGGCATAATAAAAACTCTCAGTAAACTAGGAATAGTAGAGAACATCCTCAACTTGGTAAAGAATATCTACAAAAGTCCTACAATTAACATACTTGATAGTGAGAAACTAAAAGCTTTCCCACTAAGATGAAGAAAAAGGCACGGATATTCCATTTCACCATTTATCATACTGGAAGTCCTAGCTAATGCAATGAGAAAATGAATGAAAGAAAAATGTATATAGATTAAGAAAAAAAATAAAACTATCTTCCTTTGCAGATGACATGTTTATGTAGAAAGTCCAAAATAATTTATCAAAAAACCTCCTGGAACTAATAAGCAATTATAGCAGGATGTACGGTTCAAGGTTGATACAAAAAGGCTATCACCTTTTTATATACCAGCAATGAACAATTGAATCTATAATGTAAAATATCATATTACTTATATTAGCATACAAAAATAAAATACTTGGGTACAAATCTAACAAAATATGTACAAGATCTATGTGAAGAAAACTATAGAACTCTGATAAACAATAAAAAGGAAGAACTAAATAAATAGATATTTCATGTTCCTGGAGAGTAAGACTCAATACTGTAATGATTTCAGTTCTTCCCAACTTGATCTATAAATTTATTACATTCTCCACCAAAATATCAGCTAGTTATTTCATAGATATTAACAAACTCATTTTAAAATTTATATGAAGAAATTAAAAACTGATGCTGTGTTACTTTAAGACACCAGAAAGCTACAGTATTCAAGAAAATGTGGTATTGGCAAAAGAAACGGCAGATAGATCAATGGAAGAGAATAGAGTGTCCAGAAACAGATCCAGATTAATAAAAGCAAACTGATCTCTGACAAAGGAGTAAAGGCATTCAGTTGAGAAATGATAACCTTTCAACAAACGGTGTTCAGACAATCTACATGAAAAAAATATGAATCTAGACACAGAACTTACACTCTTTGCAAAAACTGACTCAACATGGATCACAGATATAAATGTAAAATAAAAAACTATAAAACTTCTAGAAGGTAACATTGAAGAAAATCTAGATTGCGTTGGGTTTCGTGACGACTTCTTAAATGAAACACCAGAGGCATGATCCATGGAGGAGAGAACTGATAAGCTGAACTTCATTAAAATAAAAAACTGCTCTGCAGAAGACATTGTCAAGAGAACAAAAAGACAAGCTACAGAGTGGGAGAAAATATTTGCAAAAGATCTGTCAGATAAAAAATTGTTATTCAAAACATACAAAGAACTCATAAACTCAAAAATAAGAACACAAACAATGTAATTTTAAAAATGGGCCAAAGACTTTAATATATATCTCACCAAAGAAGATATACAGATGACAAATAGGTATATGAATAATAATCAGGGAAGTGTGAATTAAAGCCACAGGGTGATACCACAGCACATCCACTGGAAAGGGCAAAATCCAGAACACTGACAACAACATATGTTGGCAGAAATGTGGAGCAAAAGAAACTCTCACTCAGTGCAGACAGGAATGCAAAATGCCACATCCACTTTTGAAGACAGTTTGGTGGTTTCTCATAAAATTAAACATACTCTTCCCTTATGAACTAGCAACTGTGCTCACCGGTATTTAACCAAAGAAGTTGAAAACTTAGTCCACATAAAAACGTGAACGCAAATATTTATAGCAAGTTTATTCATAACTACCAAAACATTAAGCAACTGAGATGCCTTTCAGTAGGTGAATGGATAAACTGTGGTACATACAGATAATGGAATATTATTCAACACTATAAAGCAAATGGAAGATGGATAAATAGAAACCTCCAGTGAGTAACCCCACCAGCCCTGCGAAGGAAGATCAAAATGAGCAACTATCTAAAACAGAAAGTACCTTCACAAAAACTAAAAAATCAGGTGAGAGATTGTAGTACTTGATTTTTGCATAATAACAAGAAAAGATACGTTGAAGAAGATATGAAGGATAGTCTTACATTACCTATACCACTCTACCCCACCCCCAGGCAGTGCATTGCAGTGACAGAATCTATATACTTAAGACAAAGAGAAGGAAGTGAGTGGGAGACTGCATTGGAACTCAGTGTCAATCTCACCACAGTGGTACAAAGCACTCAACAGAATTCCACTGCTATTGGCCAGGCGCAGTGGCTCACGCATGTAATCCCAGCACTTTGGGAGGCCGAGGCAGGTGGATCACTTGAGGTCAGGAGTTTGAGACCAGCCTAGCCAACATGGCAAAACCCGGTATCTACCAAGAATACAAAAATTAGCTGGGTGTGGTGGTGAGCGCCTGTAATCCCAGCTACTCAGGAGGCTGAGGCAGGAGAATTGCTTGAACCCAGGAGGTGGAGGTTGCAGTGAGCCGAGATCACACCACTGTACACTAGCCTGGGTGACACAGTGAGCTTCTGTCTAAAAAAAAAAAAAAAAAAAAAAAAAGAATTCCACTGCTCCTGATTCCAGGCCAGTGCCCATGGAGGAAGAATTCAGACCTGCCACAGGCCAGACGGAAATCTCCTACCCTATCAGGAGAAACCTGAGTACAAGTCCCCTTTAACAACAGCTGAATGAAGTGGCCTTGGGCCCCGCCCTGAATAAATTTCAGTGGTGGCCAAGCTATAGCAATCATGGTCCTTGGGTAAACCCCAGTGATGCACTGTTCTGGGAGGCTGTGGGCTTGTGGTATGACCCAGAGTGATACCAGCTGTGGAGGTCATGGGAGTGCTCTTGTCGCCTCTTCCCCAACACCAGGCAGTGCAGCGTGGAGACAGAATCCTTCTACTCTGAATAAGGAGAGGAAAAAGTAGAAGGGACCAGCCCCACCCACCACAGAACAATGCAGCACTAGGCAGAACCTCAAGATCTGAATTCATGCAATTGTTCCAATATGGAGCTTCTAGACCCACCCTTGGCCTGAAGGGAATCTGCCACTCAAGCAGGACAAACCTAAGTCTTGGCAGACTTCACCACCAGCTGACTAAAGTGGCCTTGGGCCTTGAATAAACATCAGTGGTAGTCAGGCAGAAATGACTGCAGGCCTTGGGTGACTGTAGTACTTGTCTGGAAGGCCATGGGCTTCAGATGCAACCTAGCTTTGGGCCAGCTCTAGTGGCTACAGAAGTGTCTTTGTTGCCCTTCGTCAACTCCAGGCAGCACAACACAGAGAGACTCCTTCTGCTTGGGGGAAAGAAAGAAAAGTGAGCAAGAGACTTTCCCTAGGAACTCAGGGAATTCTTCCTGTTCTTCAAGTCTATCAGCGCTGAATATCTAGGAGTCTGCACTAGAATCACGGCATATACGGTCTTAGGGCACTCTCCAGTACTGTAATGACTGCAGTGACTACAGGTTTAGATAACTTATCAGCCAGTTTACTTTGAATTTCTGGAAGGCACTCTGAAGACAGATGGGTATAACACAAGGCCAGACTATGAAGGCTAAAATAAACACCTAAATCTGTAATGCCCAGACATCAGTGTATGTCCACAAGCATCAAGGATGTTCAGGGAACTATGACCTCACCCAAAAGGTAGCAGTGGTACCATGAGGTACCAGTGACCAACCATGGAGAGATGCAGATGTGTGACCTTTCAGACAGAGAAATCAAAATAGCTGTTTTGAGGAAGCTTAATAAACTTCAAAAAGACACAGAGAAGCAACTCAGAAACATCAGAGAAATTCAGCAGAGATTGAAATAATTTTCAAAAATCAAATAGAAATCCTAGAGCTGAAAATACAAGTGACATAGTGAAAAATGCATGAAAGGTCTCAACAGTAGAATTAATCAAGCAGAAGAAAGGCTTCACGAGCTCAAAGAGAGGCTATTTGAAAATACATAGAGGAGAAAAAAGCAAAAAAGAATGAAAAAGAATGAGGAACATTTATGATATAGAGAAAATAGCCTCAAAAGGGTGATGTTAAGGCATTAGTTTTAAAAAGAGAGTAGAGAATAAGATAGGAATAGAAAGTTTATTCAAAAAAGTAATAATAGAAAACTTTCCAAACCTAGAGAAAGATATAAACTACCAGGTATAAGATAGTCAAAGTCACCAAGCAGATTCAACCCAAGGAAGACTACCCCAACTCATATAATTATCAAACTCTCAATGATCAAGGAAAAAGAAAGGACCCTAAAATAAGCAAGAGAAAACAAAAACAAAACATATAAAAGGTCTTTGATACATCTGACAGTAGCCTTCTCAGTGGAAAACTTATGGGTTAGGAGGGAGTAGGATGACATATTCAAAATGCTGAAGGACAAAAACTACCAACCAGAAATAGTGTACCAAGCAAAGCTATCCTGCTTACGTCAAAAAGACACATAGAATTAGTTAGACAAGCAAAAACTGGGGAAATTCATTACCACCACCTGTTTTACAAAAATGCTACTTCTTCAATATGGAAGAGAGAATGCTAACATGCAACAAGAAAACATCTGGAGGAATATAACTCACAAGTAAATACACAGATAAATTCAGAATACTCTAATAGTATAGTCGTAGTATGTAAGGCTCTTGTATCTTTAGTATGAGGAATAAAAGACAAATTTATCGAAATAAAAACTATAACAATTTTTAAGAGATTAAAAAAGATTTAAAAATATGAAAATACATACATTGAGAAAACAAAAAGTCAAAATGTGGGATGAAGGAATGAAGTCAAAGTGTGAACTTTTGTTTTTTTCTTTGCTTATTTCTTTACTTTGTGATCAAGGATAAGTTGTCATAAATTTAAAATAACTTAATATAACTATAAGATATCTTTTTGCAAGCCTCATGGTAACCACAAAGCAAAAACCTATAATAGATACACGATTAATAAAAAGTAGGGAATTAAGACGTACTATGAGAGAAAATCACATATCCACAAAGGAGAACAGTAAGAAATGAAGACAAGAGAAGAGGACTTCCAAAGCAACCAGAAAGAAAATAATGTGATGGCAGTACTAACTCCTTACCTATCAATAATATCATTGAATGAAAATGGAATTCTCCAATTAAAAGAAATACAGTAGCTGAATAGATTTTTTAAAAGATCTAACTATATGCTGCCTATAAGAAACTAACTTCATCTATAGAAACACACAGAGAGTGAAAAAATGAAAAATGAAAACCATAAAAGAGCAGTAGTAGCTATCCTTATATTATATAAAATAAACTTCAAATCAAAAACTGTAAAAAGAGGGAAAGAAGGCTATTATACCATGATAAAAAGATCAATTCAGCAAGAGGATATAACAATTGTAAATGTATATACACCCAACATTGGAGCACCTGAATATATAAAGCAAATATTATAGATAGAAAAGTGAAGATAGACTGCAATACAATAATAGTAGGAGACTTCAACACCCCACCCTGACAGATTGTCCAGACAGAAAATTAACAAAGAAACATTAGAATTAAACTGCATTCTTTACTGTGTGGACCTAACTGACATTTACAGAACATTTCATCCAACTGATACCAAACATACATTCTTCTCATCAGCACATGAAACATACTTCAGGATAGATCATATTTTAGGCCACAAAACAAGCCTGAACAAAGTCAAAGTCATATGAAGCATCTTCTCAGATCACAATGGAATAAAAGTAAAAATCAGTAACAAGAGGAACTTTGGAAACCGTACAAATATGGAGAAATTTAAAAATCATGCTCCTGAAAATCAAGGGGTCAATGAAGAATTAAGAATAAAATTAAAATTATCTTAAAGCAAGTTAAAATGGAAATACAATAAACCAAATCTACTGAATGCAGCAAAAGAAGCACCACAAGGGATGTTCATAGCAATAAATGCCGACATCAAAAAAAACAGTAAGACTTCAAATAAATAACCTAACAATGTACCTCAAGGAAACTAGGAAAGCAAGAACAAACCAAACCCAAGATTAGTAGAAGGAAATGAAATGATAAAGATCAGAGCAGAAATAAATACAATTGAGAGTAGGGAAACAATACACAGATCATTGAAAGTTTAGCTTTTTGAAAAGGTAAAAAAGTCAACAAACCTTCAGCTAGGCTAAATTTTTTAAAATATCTAAATAAATAAGGTCAGAGACAAAAGAGGAGACATCACAATTGATACCACAGAAATACAAAAGATAATTAGAGAATATTATGAACAACTGTATGACAACACATTGGAAAGCCTAGGAGAAATGGATAAATTCCTGCATACATGCAACCTACCCCTATTGAACCATGAAGCAATACAAAACATGAACAGACAATGAGCAACGAAATCAAAACAGTAATAAAAAGTCTCCCATCAAAGAAAAGCCGGGACCTAATGGCTTCACTGCTGAATTTCAGAATTTAAATTAACCAGACATTTTTAAAAGGAACTAATACTAATCCTTCACAAACTCTTCAAAAAGTGGAAAAGGAGAAAATACTTCTAAATTCTTTTTACAAGGCAAGAGTTACACTGAATACCAAAGGCAGATAAGGACATCCAAAGGAAAAAAAAACTACAGGCTAATATCCTTGATAAACATAGATGCAAAAATCCTGAACAAAATACTAGTAAACTAAATTCCATGGAACATTAAAATGATCATTCACCATGATGAAGTGATGCAAGGATGGTTCAGCATACGCAAATCAAAGATGTAATATACCACATTAACAGAATCAAGCACAAAAACCATGGATCATCTCATTAGACATGGAAGCATTAAAAAATTCAATAACCTTTTATGATAAAAACTCTCAACAAATTAGGAATAGAAGGTATGTGCCTCAACACAATAAAGGCAATATATTATAGGCCCACAGCTAACATTAAACTCAATGGCAAAACAATGAAACTCTTTCCTTTAAGATCTGGAACAAGAGAATAATGCCCACTCTCATCACTTCTACTCAACATAGTAATGGAAGTCCTAGCCAGAGTAATTAGAATAGAAAATGAAATAAAAGGCATTCAAAACAGAAGAGAGGAAGTGAAGTCATTTCTGTTTGAAGCTACATTCTCTTATACATACAAAACCCTAAAGACGTCACAAAAATATTAGATCTAATAAACAAGTCCAGTAAAGTGGCAGGATACAAAATCAACACACCAAAATCACTAGTGTTTTTATACAGTAGCCATCAATTTTCTGAAAAAGAAATCAAAAGAACAATTATATTTATGATAGCTATAAAAACTGCCTAGGAATAAATTTAACAAAGGAGATAAAAACATGTACACTGAGAACTATAAAATTTTAGTGAAAGAAATTCAAGAAGACATAAATAAATGAAAAGATATTTTGTCTTCATGAATTGGAAGACAATCCAATCCATGAAAAAATATTGTTCAAATGTTCATACTACCCAAAGTAATCTACAGATTCAATTCAATCACTAACAAAAGTCCAGTGTCATTTTTCAAATGAATAAAAAAAAAAATCTTTTTTTTTTTTTTGAGAGGGAATCTCGCTCTGTCACCCAGGCTGGAGTGCAGCAGTACGACCTCGGCTTACTTCAAGCTCCACCTCCCAGGTTCACACCATTCTCCTGCCTCAGCCTCCCAAGTAGCTGGGACTACAGGTACCCACCACCACGCCTGGCTAATTTTTTGTATTTTTAGTAGAGATGGGGTTTCACCGTGTTAGCCAGGATAGTCTTGATCTCCTGACCTCGTGATCCGCCTGCCTCAGCCTCCCAAAGTGCTGGGATTACAGGCATGAGCCACTGTACCTGGCCAAAAATCCTAATTTTTTTTTAAGAGATAGGGTCTTGCTCTATTGCCTAGGCTGGAGCACAGTGGCATGATCATAGTTCACCATAACCTTGAGCTTCTGGGCTTGTGTGATCCTCCTGCCTCAGACTCCTCAGTAGCTGAGACTATAGGCATGGATCACCATGCCTGGCTAATTTTTTGTTGTTGTTTGTAGTGATAGGGTTTTATTTTATTGCTGGGCTGGTCTTGAACTCCTGGGATCAAGCAATTCTCCTGTCTTGGCCTCCTAAAGTGCTGGGATTACAGATGTGAATCAACGTGCTGTGCTTAACCATCCTCAAATTTATATGGAACCACAAAAAGCCATCAATAGCCAAGGTAGTCATGAGCAAAAGAAACAAAGCTGGAGGTATCACACTACCTGAGTTAAAACCATACTACAAAGCAATGGTAATTAAAGCAACACGGCAATAGTATAAAAATAGACTCACTGACCAATGGAATAGAAGGAAAAGCCCAGAAATGTACTCTCACATGTACTGTTAGTTGATTTTCAACAAATGTGCCAAGAATATACAATGTGTTGGCTGGGCGTGGTGGCTCATGTCTTTAATCCCAGTACTTTGGGAAGCTGAGATGGGCAGATTGCTTGAGCTCAAGAGTTCGAGACCAGCCTAGGCAACATGGCAAAACCCTGTCTCTACTAAAAATACAAAAATTATCTGGGCGCGGTTGTGCATGCCTGTAATCCCATCTACTTGGGTGGCTGAGGCAGGAGAATCACTTGAATCTGGGAGGCAGAGCCTGCAGTGAGCCAAGATTGCACCACTGCACTCCAGTCTGGGCAACAGAGTGAGACTCTGTCTCAAAAAAAAAAAAAAAAAAAATACACACACACACACACACACGCACACACACACAGTGGGTAAAGGACAATCTCTTCAATCAATAGTGTTAGGAAAACTGTATATGCATATGCAGAAGAATGAAATTGGACCCTTATCTCATGCCATATATAAAAATAAACTCACAATAGATTCAACACTGAAAAATAAGACTAAAACTATAAAACCTCCAGAAGAAAACATAGTGGGGAAATTACATGACATTGGTCCAGGCAATGATTTTTTAGTTTTGACCCCAGAAGTACAGGCAACAAAAGCAAATGTAGACAAATAAGATTACATCAAACTAAAAATCTTTTGCACAAAAAAGGAAACAACAGGGTGAAGCAACAAGCTATGAATTGGCAGAAAATATTTGTAAGCCAAAAATCTGATAGAAGTTAATATCCAAATTATATAAGTAACTAAAGCAACTCTATTGAAAGAAAACAAATAATCCAATTTTAAAATGAGCAAGGGACCTGAATAGACATTTCTCAAAAGAAGACATAAAATGGCCCACAGAAGATATACAAAATAATGCTCAACATCACTAATATTAAGAAGATGCAAGTTAAAACCACAAGGAGATAGCACCTCACACCTGTCAGAATCACTATTATAAAAAAGATGAAAGTTAAGTGTTGGTGAGGAAGTGGAGAAGAAACCTTTATATGCTGTTGGGGGAAATGTAAATTAATACAGCCATTATGGAAAATTATATGGAGTTTCCTAAAAAAGCACACACAACTAAAAATAGAACTAGTATTTGATCCACTAATCCCACTGCTGGGTATTTACCCAGAAGATTAAAATCAGTTTATCAAAGAGATGTCCACCACTGCCAAGTTCATTGGAGCACTGTTCACATTCACCAAGTTATGTCATCAACCTAAATGTCCACCAGCAGATAAAAATAGTTAAAGAAAATGTGGTATGTAGACACAATGGAATATTATTGAGCCTTAAAAGGAAAGGCCGCGACAACATAGATGGAATTGGAGAACACTAAGTGAAATAAGCCAGAAACAGAAATACAAATAGCAAATTCTCACTTATTTGTATAATTTAAAACAATCAACATCAAATAAACAGAGTAGGATGGTGATCAAAAGATGCTGGCACGGGATGTTGGGGGAATGGGAAGATGGTGGTCAAAGGGTACAAAGTCTCAATTAGACAGAAGGAATACATTTTTACAATTTTTCAGTTTTTAGAGATAGTGTCTTGCTCTGTGGCCCAGGCTGGAGTACAGTGGTGCAATCATAGCTAACTGACTGCAGTGTTGAACTCCTGGGCTCAAGTGATCCTCCCACCCCAGCCTCCGGAGCAGCTGGGACTATGGGTGCACACTACCACACCAGCTAAAGTGTTGGTTTCTTTTTTCCTTGGTGATGTTTTCAGTGGGTTAAATACAGTGTTAGATTTAAGTTTGGCTCAAAGTGTCCTTTGTACTGGGGTAATACGGTTTGTCCCCTGTTGGTCTCCTTACTTTGTGAACTTTACCTTAGTTGATGTGTAAACAAGTTGTAACCTAACCTAGGAGTTTACCTTTGTAACCAAGTGATCCCAGGCTGAAAACTAACACATTCTGCTCAAATAAAGCCTAGGCCAAACTGCACAAATCAGGTAGTCTCTTTATGTCATTGCTTGTTCTCTGGTTATAAATGTAGCTCACCTCATCGGAGGTGGGGGCATTCTGAACCATCTTCAGTGTAGAGGGCTGCTTGGTTCTAGAATCCTTTTCTTGCTCAAATAAAGTTTGTTAAATTTAATTTAACTTGGACTTTTCTTTAACAGATTGACCCAGTCGACAGGATCTGAACTTCCAGTGACCATCCCAGGAACAGAAAGCAACTGTGTAAGTGCCCTCCAGGGCCCATTGAGCCCAGGGATCTCTTTTCTGGGCCTGAATTGCTGGGTGAGCCTCTCTCTGGGATTCTAACTTCCACTTATTTTGTGTTCTGAGCTCTCCACGTTTATCTCAGCGACCTTTGTTCCTTTTTCTCTCTCTCCTTTTTTTTTTCTTTCTTTTTTCTCCTGTTTTACTGAATTGGATTTCACTTAAGAGGCCAGGCATCTGATTAAGTTAGAGTCTGAACAGGGTTCAAAATCAAATTGGATTCAACAGTTAACTAGATTGGATCCAGTTAAAGGCCTTGGGGTAGGTAATTTTGATCTTTTCGGCATTTGAATCCAGGGTTTTGTGCTTGAGAGAGCATTTGAGAATCATGACAGAAACAGGACCCAGTCCTACAGGGAGGCCTCAGTCTGACTGGGTCAGACAGAACTCAACTGGGCTCTGTAGATAGGTAGAGTTAGCCTTTCTAAAGGTAATCTAAAATTAAAGTGGCCACAGTGGTGACATTTAATTTGGACAGAATTGTTTACTTGTGAGGCATATTCAGAAAAAACAGAGATCAGAACCACCCCCCCAAAATACTGGGATGTATTTTTTAATTGGTACTGGGAGGCACGCAAAAGACTAAATTAATCCAAATTGCCTCCTTAAAAGATTTCTTTGCAAAAGGCAAACAAAAAGCTTAAGCAACAGACTAAGGACATGAAGAAAGAGGGGTGCAGTTTGACCGAATTAACCCTGTTTTGCTTCCTACATGTTTTTACCTCAAGTTTCTGAATCTGTTAACCTTTTGGCTCAATTACCTTTTTGCCAGAAAGAGCTAGGAGGAATTGTTGAAAACCTCTTACATTTAATTCCTAATAGCTAAGGTATTTCTGCACAAACAAAACAAAAAAACCTCCAAAAGAAAACAAAACAAAACAAAAAAAACCACACCTGATTGGTCTGTTACACAATTCTGCAGACAAAAGGACAAACCAGACTGCAGAGTTTATTTAGAAACATTGTGGAACATTCTGAGCTAGAAACGCAACAAGGAGTATTTCCTTTAGGGACTGAAACAGTATTAACTTATAGCCTGCAATTAGACCCAGTAGCTAAGCCATAACCTAATTACTTAAAAGTAAGTAGCAGTGGTTGCCAAACTGGTAGCGATCTTCTCTGAGGTAGTTTAGGGAAAAATTTTTCTTGCATGTTCCACATGCTATGGAAAGCCTCTTGAATTCCATTCTAACTCACTGTCTTTCAGCAAACAGACTAACATCTTATGAAATTCTTCTTTTGTCTTCTAAGCATCATTTAAAACACTGAAATATACTTAATCCTCCTGCTCTACTACCTCTAAGGACAACAGTGAAAACTGCCCTTGTGTGAGTGTAGCGTCACAAGTAACAACCACTTGTGTTGATTTATAAGATTCTCCATTAGCTAATCGGGAGTTAATGCTTTGTGTTAATGGGTCTTAAGCCAAACACTAGAAGAAGAGAATAGCAGGCAGTGTATGCTGTTACAATAGAAACTTTTAAGCTCCACATGTTTTATAAGACTGTTGACATTTAACTGCTTCTACCTCCCGACATGCCACTTTCCTCAACTTTAGCTTTTCAAACTGACTTCTGATCACACTGCTTCATCAAAACGCCTGCTGGGAAAGTCACCAGTGACCTTCTGATCACTAGCTGGGTTGATTCTTTCTCCATCCCTGTCCACCATATAATTTGTCCTTGCCGCCAGGCTTGTCACTTATTCTCCCTCATGCAATCCATGTACCAGTCAAAACTAATACATGCTATTTCCCCTGGCCTGTGCCCATGCTGTTTCTCTGTGCAGGCCACCCTTTACTCTGGTGGTTCAAATTCTACCAATACCTTGGCTCAGCTCAGTGGTAAACTAGGACTCTTAACACTCAGCCTTTTATTATCATTATTCGGATAAACATCTTAATTCTGTTATAAAATTAACTCCTTGAAAGATTATAGCTTATTAATCTCTACATCTTTCATGGTTTGTATTTAATACACTGCTGTGCACATAATTACTGTTTAATACATATTTGAGACATTGACTTCAATTTAATTGAATTTCTAGACGGAGCAAATTATACCCCCAAAGAACTTGAGTGGATGCTTCAAGGTCACCTGCCAGGGAGACTTTCTAAAACGAGCTGTTGTATCTGAAAAGTGCCTCTGAGCAGTGCCCCTGTAGAAGAACAAAAGCATGTGAGGCTAGACGCACACATTTTATCATCCTCAGTCCGTTCTCATGGGGAGCCCAGGACCTCTCTTCAGGGGCGAGTCTTCCATGGTGTTTTATTGTCAGGCAGAGAACAGTGCTACTGCTGCTGTAGATTTCTCTGACTGGGCTCTCCTGGCTGTGACCTGTTAGAGCACACGTGCACACAGAGATGCACACACACACACACACACACACACACACACAATGATCATGTGCACAGCACAGGATATGAGCAGAAATACATCACATTTCTTTGATCCTTATTGCAGTCAAGGCACATGGGTGCAGCTGCAACTTGAACTTTAGAATCAGGGTGTCTCGTTCCTCGAATGAGTTCATACTATCTAGCATTTTCATTCTTGCCATCTGTCTTCTACAATAGGTCCCTCTTGTTTTCCACCTCATGGAATGAATGTTCTTTTATCATCCTGTTTATTAAAAAACCTCCAACATATCACTACACAGAGGAAAAGCAAGGCTGTTGTGGATACTCATGTGCTTATGCTGTGCACCTACATTCAGCCCCAGAGCCACATAAAGGGCTTTCTAATAACTGGGATGGCAATTGCAGATGGCCAACATTATAACACTGAGGCACAGAAAATAGTCTCACCTCTTCCCAGTACTTAGGAGCCCAGCGTGGATAGTGGAGAGTGCACATTCCACATCTTGGTTCTGACACTTTCTTGTTGTATAGTCTTGTTTCTTCACCAATAGAATGGGTATAAGATTATGTACCTCATAGATTTGTTGTGATTATTTAAACATATAGCTTCCTAATCCAATGCCTGGTCCCTAATGGGTGGTTCCTTTTAACAAGCAAATATTCTCGACTACCCCATAACATCAGAGAATAGCCTTGAAACAATGTTATTGACATTTTAAAAATCAAACAATATGCACCCCATATTATAGTTATAGTTTCATTGCAATTACTTAAAGGAGTGAATAGACAGACTCACCTTCATATCCACTTTTAATCTAACTGAGAATATCTCAAGACAGTCTATTGAGATGGATAAAGTAAGAAACAGAGACAGAGCTTGTTGATGTGTGTGTGAGTCATCCTCCTTGTGAGGTTCTGTGTGTGATGAATGGCTCACTGGCGCCCTAGGGTCACTAAGAAGAGAGAAAAAGATGATTAGAAGAAACGGAACATTTTGCAATAAAATAAATTGCTATCAATATCTGAGCAAGTGTATGACTAGATTAGCCACATGAATGTCTGTTTCCCAGGGTGAGGGAAAAGCTGTGAGGCAAGGCTGTTCAGTGACTGGACTTATATCCACCATCACTGATTACAACATTCTCAGCAAGCCGTATTTCATCTGGACACATTCAGTCCCTGCCCTTGCTAATGAAGATTAAACACATCATTATTTTAGCTTTCCACTCATTCACTGATGTCCCTTCCAGAAGTCACCTCACCCCTTAATTTCCTCCTCTGTAAAGTAAAGTTCCTACTGTTTTCTAGCTACCTTCATAAAGATATTCAAGGATGGCTGGAAAATTCTTAAGTTGTCAGAGGAAGGCACCACAGGTCAAATCCCATTAAAAACACATACAGAAAAGTATTACATTTTCTCCATCATAATGGACCTTCAACTTAACAAATAATTCAAAATCCGGAGGAGTCCTCACGCCCTGGAGAACCCAGCTTTAGAGGGCGGTTATTGTGATTTTTCCCTGTAATAATAATATTTATTTATTTGTGTAGCAGTGGTAGCAAGCATAAGAATAGCAAGCATCACGTAAGGAGTCGGGAAACCCAGGGTTTTTTCTAGCTCTATAACTCTGGGCAAACCTCAGCACACAAGCCTAAGCCCCATCTTTTACAGAAAAGGATTGGCTCTATAACCCTTTTACCTCCCAAATGCGAACTCTCATGCTTATATAGCACTAAGAAGAGTGAGAGAAAACATACACAGTCCTCAAAGGGTTTACGGTCTCCCCACACCTCTGGGCAACACAATCTCAGAACAAGTATGTACAACGCTGTGTTGATCTTCTTATATTCCTGCTGCCTGGTTTTATTAAGTTCAATATTTCTGTATCATATTCATGATTCCTTAATTTTTTTGTAGAGAGTTTTAGTTTTCTAAAATATTTATTTATAATTGACAAATAATAGTCCACATTTATGGGGTACAGTGTGATGTTTTGATCTATGTATACATTGTAGAAAGAGTCAATCAAGGTAATTAACATATCTATCACCTTATTGCTTTTTTTTTGGTGTGATGAGAATGTTAAAAATCTATTCTTTTTAGCAATTATGAAATATACATTATTATTAATTATGGTCAAAATGCAGTGCAACCAATCACTAAATCTGATTCCTCCAGTCTAACAGAGACTTCGTACCCTTTGATCAACATCTTTCCATTCCCCATCCCTCCTCCTCTCCCCTAGCTACTGGTAATCCCTCTATACTTTTTGTTTCTATGAGATCACATTTTTTCTGAGTCCACAAACAAGTAAGATTATACAGTATTTGTTTCCATGACTGGCTTATTTCACTTAGCACAGTGTTCTCCAGCTCCATCTATGTTGTCACAAATGACAAAAGTTCCTTCTTTTTCAAGGCTATATAGTATTCCATTGTGTAATATAGTATGTTTTCTTTATCCATACTATCATTGATGACCACTTATGTTGCTTCCATATCTTGGCTATTGTGAATAATGCTGAAATGAACATGGGAGTACAGACATCTCTTCAACATACCAACTTCAATTCCTTTAAATATATATCCAGAGTGCAATTCCTGGGTCATATGGTAATTATATTTTTAGTTTTTTTGAGGAAACTTCATACTTTTTCCCAAAATGACTGTACTAATTTATGTTCCCAACAGCATACAAGGGTTTCCTATTCTCCAGATCCTTGCTAACACTTATCATTCCTCTTTTGGATAATAGCTATTTTAACAGATGTAAGGCAATATCTCATTGTGTTTTAAATTTACATTTCCCTGATGATTAAAGATTCTGAGCATTTTTCATGTATCTGTTAGCCATTCCTTTCTGTTATTTTGAGAAATGCCTGTTCAGATCCTTTGCCCATTTTTAATCATGTTGTTTGTTTTCTTGCTCTTGAGTTGTTTGAGTTCCTTATATATTTTGAATATTAGTTGCTTATCAGATGTATGGCTTGTGAATATTTTCTCCCCATCCGTGGGTGGTCTGTTACTTCTGTTAATTGTTTCTTTTGCCGTGCAGAAGTTTCTGAGTTGAATGTGATCCCAATTTGTCCACTTTTGCTCTTGTGGCCTGTGCTTTTGGAGTCCTGTCCAAGAAATCTTGCCCACACCAATGTCATGGAGAGTATCCTCAATTTGATTTTCACAGTATTGAACATTAACTGTGTAGTGTCACAGTTTCAGGTCTTACGTTTAAGTATTTTATTCATTTTGAGTTGACTTCTGCATATGAGTGTGAGATAAGTATATCCACATGTAGAAGAATGCCATTTATTAAAATGACTGTTTTTTCCCAATTTGTGTTCCTGGCACATTTGTCAAATATCAATTGGCCATAAACACTTCGGGTTATTTCTGGGCATTCTATTGTGTTTCATTGGTTGAGGCGTCTGTTTTTATGCCAGTGCCATGCTGTTTTTTTGTTTTGTTTTGTTTTTACAATACATTCATAATATTTTTGAAATCAGGAAATGTGATGCCTTCTACTTTGTTCTTTTTGCTCAAGATTGTTTTGGCTATTCAGGGTCTTTGTGGTTCCATATGCATGTTAGGATTTTTTTTCTATTTTTATAAAAAAATAACATTGAAATTTTAAAAGGAGTTGTATTGAGTCTGTAAATCATTGCTTTGGGTATTATGGATAGTTTAACAATTCTAATTTTTTCAATCCATAAACACAGAATATCTTTCCATTTATTGTGTCATCTTCAATTTCTTTAATCAATGTTTTATAGCTTTTAGTGTAGAGATCTTTCACCTCCTTGGTTAAATTTACTCTTAAGTATTTTTTCTGATGCTATTGTGAATGAGATTATTTTTAAAATTTCTTTTCCAGATAGTTTGTTATTAGTGTACAGAAACACTACTGATTTTTGCATGTTGATTTTATAACTTGCATCTTATTGAATTGATCACTTTTAACAGTTTTTTTGGTGAAATCTTTAGGGTTTTGTATATGTAAGATTATATCAACAGACAGTCTCATTTATTCCTTCCTCATCTGTCTCTTCCCAATGAAAAAGAATTAACGCTCAGAATTACAGTATCTTTTCTTGTTCCCTCTTTTACCTATCCCACTATATTCCAAGAATAGTAAATATTAAAAGACATTGAATAGGTTTTGGAATATACAATGAATTAACTTAGATTTGATCTTTGATATTAACCCACAAGTTTTATTTATATAGTTATATGAGCATTAGTCAGACTTATCCTCTAAGTCCTAAAATTTTGTGTTTAAAAATTGTAAAATTTACAAACAATTGCTTCTGACGTAAGAATGGGAAAATTGCTTTATTTTTATAAGTCCTGAATTCCCAGCTTATATTCATTTGGTGTCACTGTCATTACCCATAAATACTACTAGGTATTACATGAAATTCCATTGTATACAATAATGGGTTAGTGTTTTTACCTCATTTTAGAAATGAGGATATATGTGTTAATGATAAATGCAGTGGGAGGAAAGACATTCGTATCCCACTGTCCTAAAGCCAAACAATAATGTTTATGTTGACCTTTCAGATTTGCTCATCATTTTCCTTAGCTGGAATCAGAAGAATAGAAGTCTTAGTTTTCAGTTTTAGATTACGCAGGTTGCAACTTTATTAACATGTGTATCGTTGTCCAGGAGAATCCAAAAGGCAGCTTAGAAGACGGATGTTTCTAATTATCTGAGTGACTTTGGGCACCTTTTATTTAATGTAGCCTTAAGGACCCTTCCAGTTTTGAGGTTATCTTAGCTTTTGATTTTCACAGTATTGAACACATGGGATTAAGATTCAGTGAGAAACAGCTGAGTCAGCTATTAACTTTCTCTCTTCTTACATCCTCCCTGGATTTTCTAACAAATGGTGCAATTAATCTAACGTAGCTAAAAGGCATTATTAGGTCACATGATTGGAGTCATGGGACAGAGGGAGGGAGATGGGAAATGGCAAGTGCTAGCTGACACTGCAGGGAAGAAATAACACCACTAGAGGCAAACTTAAGAGCAGGAGATGCAAGAACTCACACTGTATGTTTCTAGGAACCTCTGTTTAGCAACTGTTTTGCATATTTTTCTGGATTTGTAGCTACTTGACAGAAAATAATCAGTGGTGACTTCTTAGACAGCATTCCTTCTGGTCAAGCTGGTCTTCAGAATATTAAGCTACTGAACATAAGTCAAAAGAGAATAAAAGTTTAGTGTGGATTTTCTTGTATATTAAAATGTGTGGCTTTGATATACTATTTTATTTCTGGGCTGAGTTAGAATCAACTTGATAACAAAACAGACATCTCTTCACTCACAGAACCTGGATTGAGGTTCTATTTTTGGGTCTTCACTGGAAGTTTTGCTACTTTGGCCAGGATGTGTAGACAGCAGAGAATTACAGTGCTCAGTGAGATGTGAGCTATAGCTGAAGAGCTCATGAATCAAGTTTTCCTAGTGAAAATTATCACTGTTCTTTCCATTTAAGTCACAGATGAATAGAATTGCAAGGCTTTCAGCAAATCCATAATGTGGACAATTGAGTCATATTCCTTTGAGAGAGGAAGGAGTAGATAAAATATCAGGACTGTAACCAGTTTCCCTAACAGATGAGTGAGTGTTAGGAGAAGGAATGCCGGGTTTTGAACAGAGACTTCTATGGGCTCCATTCAGTTTCCTCTCTGTTCAAATTCTAGAGTTTAGCTGACAAGCTTTTCAAGTCTAATACCACTTACTCCTCTAGATTTGTCTTTTCACCTTACGCTTCAACCTCACTAAACAACAAGTGTTCTCCTCCAAACACTACAAATCCTTCTCTATAGAATACCTTTCCTCAACAGTTTCAACTTGTCCTTCTTGTTCCTGCGTGCCTTTAATTAGTCAACATTTATCCCTCTATATTCCACTGTATGCCCGGCCTTCTCTCTTGTCCTCTTCCTCACTCTGTCCTGGCCAATTTGTTCTTACATCTCTCCATCTACTGCACAGTATTTGCCTGATATTTGGTGTCTGTTCCTTGCCTAAAACATTGGGAAAATCTCCATGGTGGGGATTGTGTCTTAGTCGTTTGGCACATCCAGTTCCAGGACACTCTTCATATCCTCAATGTGGTAATACTACATAATCATTCACTTGATAATAGCAGCAGATAAGGTGAAAAGGTAGATAGGGAAGAGAGAGAATGAAATAACTGATTTTAGGGAATTGGTCTAAGGTAGAATTGAAATTTTGGAGCATTTTCTATGGCCACTCAAATTAGTAGCATCCTCTTGAGAACCTTGGTTTTGAAGCACCAGCCTGGAAGTGGCATGCATCACCTTCACTTTTTTCCACTTGTCTCAGTGTCAGCTGGAAGCTTTTTGATGTGCTACAGCAAAAGGCTAAGAAATGGCGTATTGAAATGAGCACAGAAAGAAGGGCAGAACTGATTTTGGTGCATGATTAGCAGTCCCTGCTGGAGTCTGCAGACCCCAGGAAAATCGTACATGTGTTCTCAAATGTCTATAAGGGATCAAGTTTCAGAGGCGTGGGAGACAGAATCAGAGCATAAAGCATACTTCTTTAGTCAATCATAGTACTAGGGCCCTAGGGATAGATCTACACATGTGCTATCACAAACCAAATCAAAGCAAATATTTATTTTGCACTCATATGCATGGCATTGTGTTTAGCCTCATGAAAGACACACAGAAACACAAGGAAGGCACTGTTTCTGCCTGCCTCTAATGATTTGCAGTGTAGAAAGATTAAATCTTAAGCAACTTTACAAGATATACAAAGAATAATAGAGGAGATGTCATAAGGCAACAATAACTAATGGCCCAAATTACAGACTAGGCAGAGCCGGGGCATAGTAAGAAGTCAGAGGAGGGAGTATGCTATGCAGTAGGGGTCAGGTAAGATTTAAAGAAAAGTACTGAGGCATGAAAGACAAGGTGTGTAGATAAGCAAGGAAGGAGAATTGGGGGAGCTAGAGGGAACTCATTGAAACCCCAAAAATCATTGAGGACCACCAGTTGCAAGGTTCTGGACCAAGCCTGGGTGGGCTTGATGAGTGGACTTGATTCTGACATCAGGGTGGTGTTGAGTTAGGAAAATTAGTGCTAGAGTTGGATTTCACACTTAGATGAAGGGAAAATGAATTTTGTCAAGGGGGATGCTATTTGACTAGGGTCTGAGGGGTTGAGAAATGGTTTTTGCAGTCCAAAAGTACAGATGGAGCAAATGCAAGCAGGTATGAAGCCTATAGTGGATTTGGGAAGGAGAAACAAAGAAACAAAGATCTATTGAGCACCTGCTCTGCTCCAGTATTTTGTTGAGGATTTTTGAATCTATGTTCATTAGGAATGTTTGCCTGTAATTTTCTTTTCTTGTAGTGTCCTTATTTGGCTTTGATACTAGAATAATGCTGGCCTCATAAAATGAGTTTGAGTTCTATTGCACAATATGGTGACAATTTATATTAAGATATGATATAGTACAAAATATCTAAAACAGAGGCTTTTGAATGTTCTCACCATAAAGAAATAATAAGTGCATGAGGTAATGGTAACACTAAATACCCTTATTTGGTCATTATACAACATATATATATTAAAACATCAAGTTATACCTCATAAATATATGTAATTATAATGTATCAGTTTTTAAAAATGAGGTGGCTGGGAATAGTGGATTTATTTCTGGATTCTTTGTTCTGCTCCATTAGTCTGTGTGTCTGTTCTTATGCCAATACCATGCTGCTTTGGTTGCTATAGCTTTATAGTATAATTTGAGACAGCTAATGTGATGCTTCTAGTTATATTCTTTTTGGTCTGGATTGCTTTAGCTATTCAGGGTCTTTTGTAGTTCTATACACATTTTAGAATTTTTTTTCTATTTCTGTGAAGTATGTCATTGGTATTTTGATAGGAATGCATTGAATCTGTACTTACTTTGAGTAGTATGGCCATTTTAAGAATATTAATTTTTCCAATCCATTAGCATGGGATATCTTTCCATTTTTTGGGTCCTCTTCAGTTTCCTTCATCAATGTTTTATATTTTCCTTGTGGAGATTTTTCATTTCTTTGATTAAACTTATGCCTAAAAATTTAAAAAGTAGCTATTCAGTAGGATTCAATGGGATTGCTTTCTCAATTTCTAAGATTTTTTTGCAATTGGCTATTGGCTGAGTACAGATTCAACGCAATCCCTATCAAAATAACCATGACATTCTTCACAGAAATAGAAAAAAAATAGAGATGCTATGGATTTTTAAATGTTGATTTTGCATCTTGCAACTTGAGTGAATTTATCAATTTGAACAGTTTTTTGTGGAGTCCTTACGTTTTTCTAAATATAACACCATGTCATCTGTAAACAGGGATAATCTGACTTCTTTCTTTCCAGTTGAGATGCCCTTTATTTCTTTCTCTTGTCTGATTACTCTGGCTACAACTTCTAGTACTATTAATATGTATAAAAGTGGTAAAAGTGGTGAAAGTGGGCATACTTGTCTTGTTCCAGATCTTAGGGCATAGGCTTTAATTTTTCTCCATTTGGTATGATGTTAGCTGCGGGTTGTCATATATAGCCTTTATTGTTGTGAGATATTTTCCTTCCATATCCAGTTTGTTGAGACATTTCACCATGAAGGGACGTTGTATTTTATGAAATGTTTCCGCTTCAGTCAGGTAGTGGTGAAGCAGGCCAGGACTTGTTTTCCTCCAGTTGGGGCAGTGGATTCTCCTCTGTCCCAGGGAAGGTCTAAATTCTCCCTCTCTAGGTTTGGAATCAGGCACTGTGGGGGCTCTGCCTGTGCTGTGTTGCACCGTGGCAGGCCTGACTCTAAATTCCAATACAAATTCCCATACCCACTTCCCATTCCCTTCCCCAAGCAGGAATTGTCTCTCTCCTCTCTATGGTGCCTGGCATTGAGGAGAGGTGGTTTTGGCAATGAGTGATTATCCTTCTTACCTTCTTCAGTGTGTATCTCTTCTTGTTATTATGCTAAAACCAGGTACTGTGATAGCTCACCTGATTTCTTTAGCTCTTTTGAAGGTGTCTTCTTGCAAGGATAGTTGTTCCATTTGATGTTCCTGTGGGGGGTGATTGACAGAAGGCCTGTTCAGCTATTTTGCTCCCCATATTTGAAACTCAGCATTTCTTTAATATTCCAATGTATCAGTCTTTTTTTATAATTAATGCCTTTTATGTTTTATACATACTATTAGTGCATTTTGTGTACAAATTTTCTTATAGCCCAAGGTCATGAAGATTTTCTGCACTGATGTTTATTGGAAGCTTTATTGTTTTACCTTTTACTTTTAGGTCTACAATCCACCTAGGATTGATTTTTGCTTATGGTGTGAGCTATAGATTGCTTCGTTTTTAAAAAGAAACTCTTTTCACTGCTTTGCAGTGTCATATTTGTCATGAATTTGGTGTCCACATGAGTGGGTCATTTCTGAGCTCTCTATTATTTCCTTAGCCTATTTTTCAATCTTGATTTCTAGAACTAACTAAGTCATGTTTTCTAGCAGAGTAATTCTCCCCACATTGTTCTTCTCTAAGACTGTCTCACTATTTTTGACTATTTGCATTTTAATATTCATGTTAAAATTAACTCATCAATTTTCACTCAAAAAGTGTTGGGATTTAGATGGGGATTTCATTGAACATACTGATAAACTTAGGAATAAATTACATGTTTTCATTAATTTCTATCTAATCTTCATTTATTTAGGACTTTAAAAATGTCTCTAAATAATGTCTAATCATTTTCTGCATAAAGATCTTATGCACCTATTATTAGATTTATTACTATTTATTTGAAGTTGTTTATGCTATTATAAAGTCTGTTTTAAATTAATTTTTGTCTTAGTCTATTTTGTGCTGCTATAACAGAATAACACAGATGGAGTAATTTATAAACAGAAATGTATTGGCTCATAGTTCTGAGGACTGGGAAGACTAAGGTCAATGCACCAACCAGAGGGGAGAAGAACGCTGACTCCTCATGTGGTGGAAGGTGAAAAGGACCAAGAGAGAGCCCACTCTTGAAAGCCCTTTTTACGATTGCATTAATCCATTCATAAGTGCTCTGCCATCATGATGTAAACACCTCCCATCAAGCCCCACCTCTCAATACTGTTTGCATTGCAAATTTCAACATCAGTTGGGGAAGGGGACAAACATTCAAACCATTTTAAACCACAGCATTCTGGCTGTGGTCCCCCAAAACTCACGTCCTCGCATATAAAATACATTAATTCTTTCTCAATAGTCCCGGTAAGTCCAAAGTCCAGAGTCCCATCTAAATGGAAGAAAATTTGCAGAATTAGGAGTTTGTAGGCAGATATTCAGAAGAAGCCGGCAGAAGAAGTTCCTTACCCATGTAGTGTCTTAAAGGCCATTAGAGATAAATAGCCCTGAGGAGTCAGAAGAATCTTCCTAGATTAATGGTTCATCATTTTCTGTGTTCCCTTACAGAACGGAAGATATGGGTGAGACTGAAGCATGGTTCATCCTGAGACGAATCCCCTCCCACAATAAACCTATGAAATCAAACTATTTATTTATATGTTTCCAGAATACAGTGGTGGGACAGGCACAGGATAGACATTCCTATTCTAAAAGGGAGGAATAGGCAAGAAGAAAGGGGTAGCAGGTTTCAAGTCCCAAAGCCAATAGGGCCTTACATCTTAAGGCTTGGAAAAAAATCTTGACTCTATGGCCTGCCTTTCAGACACACTTGGGTTGACCTCCCAAGGCCTCAGACAACCCTGCCCCTATGACTTTGCTGGGTTCAGCCCACACAGCATCTCTCATGAGTTGGAGTCTCATGCCTGTGCTCTCCCAGGCTGGCAGTGTATACTAGTGGCTCTATGCTTTCAGGGTCCCGGGGCGGGGTGGTGGGGGGGTCCCTGTTCCCATTGCTTCACTAGGCATTACCTTGATGAAGACTCTCTGTGGTGGCCCCACCCCTGTGACAAGTCTCTGCCTGGGCCCCATGACTTGCCATAACATCCTTTGAAGTCTTGTTGAAGAAATTCATGCCTCCTCAGCTCTGGCACTATGTGAGCCTGCAGAATTAGAACCACATAGATGCCTCGAAGGTTTACAATCTGCCTTCTGGAAGACTAGGTGTGGCCAAGGAGAGTTGCATTAGAATGCATGGATCAGAGTCCTGAGACAGCCCTGATAGAGAGCAGCCCACGGAGGGCGCCCTGGGCCCATCATCCAAAACCCTTCTGCCCACAAAGCCCTAAAGCTCTGGGCCTGTGATTAGAGGGGCAGCCTTGAAGACCTCCAAAATGCCTTTGGGATCATTCTCCCACTTTCTTGATGAGTAACACTTGGCTTTCTTTTATCCATTTAATCTACAAATTACTGGAATTAATCAGTGTAATTAGCAAGGTTGTTGAATATGAGGTCAATACATAATAATCAAGAATAACAATAATTAACAGCATTTTAAGTAATGCTATTATTTGAATGTTTGTCCCTTCCCAAATTCATGTTGAAACAATCTCCCATCCAACAGTAGTGGGAGGCAGGGCCTAACAAGAGGTGTTTAGGTCATGAGGCCTCTCCAGTCTATGAATGGATTAATGCTGTTGCAAACAGAGCTTTCAAGAGTGGGCTTTCTCTCTTGGCCCTTCCACTTTCTGCCATATGTGGATCCTGCATTCTACTTCCCTCTAGAACATTTCACCAGTTTTTGCGTGCACTCATTTTTCTAATGCATGCTTGTGCAAAATTCTATGACATTTTATCAAATGTACAGTGATATTTGACTAGTAAGCTTATCTCAAATTCCTGGAATAAATTCAACTTGGTTGTGGGCTGCTATCTTTTTTAGTTGTTGCTGGCAAATCTAAACATTGGTTAAACAAATGTTTAAATGTTATTTTTTTCAGGTTTCAGGAGTGCTTGTTTCGGTTTCAGGAGTGCTTGTTTCAGTTTCAGGAGTGATTGTTCTGTAATTTTTCCTTCGGGAATGTCCGTATCAAGTTTGTGTACCGACATTAGATTAACTTCATAAAAGAAGTTAGGGGAAGAGTTCTTATTTTTTCTATTCTCTTGAAAAGTTTATAAAAGTTTTGTAAATATTTAGTACAATTCGCCAGCAAAGCCATCTAGGCCGGATGTTCTGTTTGTGTGAATTTTTTAAATTTATAGATTCCATTCCTTTAATAGTTTCAGGATTATTTAGAATTTCTATTTTTCTTGTGACAGTTTTATGCATTATATTTTTTCAGAAATGTGTTAAGTTTACCAAAATTTTCAAACTTATTGCCATAATACTGGTCATAATGTGGTGTAATTTTGTTTTTTACTGCTTCTGAGTCTGTGACAATATTCCCCTTTTCAATCCTATATTGTTGGTCTTTGTGCGTTCCCTCTCTGTATCTGTCTTTTGGTCAGTCTCATCAGGGTTTATCCATATTACTAGTCTTTAAAAACAAAACAAATCTTAATGTTGTTGTTTTCTTTTTCATAATTTCCACTATCTTTATTCTTTTCATTCATTCTTCTTTTAAAATTCCTTGGGTTTAATTCACAACTTTCTTATTCATTTCTTGAGCTAGATATTTTAGATCTTTATTTTTCACCCTTTCTACTTTTCTTACGTATGCTTAAAATTCATATAAATGCATATAAATTATTCCTTTAAGTATTGCTTCGGCTATGTCCCCAAAATTTGATATGTTACATTTTGTTATACTTTCAAAATATTTTCTATTTTTATCATGGTTTCTTCTTTGATCCTTGGCTTAGTTATAAGTGTCCTCCTAAATTTACAAATATTTAGAAAGTTTAAGTCCTCTTTTTGTTATTGGTTTCTAGTTTAATTGCGTTGTAGTCAAAGCACACAGTACGTATGATTTCAACCCTTTGGAACTGGTTAACACTTGCGTTACACGTTTGGGAACATTTGTATTTTAATGTTTTTGGGTGAAGTTTTCTACATATGTTCATGAGAGTCAAGTTTGTTAGCCATGTTTTAAAAAAAATCTATTCATACTGATTTTTTGTGCTTTGATTTTATTAGCTAGTAGAAGATAGGCATTGAAATTTCCCATTATGATTATAGGTTTGTCTACTTCTTCCCGTAGTTCTTTTTCATTTATCTTGATGTTTTACTGTATGATTGTACATCTAGAATTTTATAATTCCAAATGAATTAATGTCATTATGAAGTGCTCCTCTTAATTCTCATAATGCTTTTATCTCAGTGACTAGCTTGCATGATACTGGTGTAGGTACACCATCTTTCTTTTTTTCTTGTTGTTGTTAATGTTTTCACTCTTTTCCTTTCAAGCCTCCTGTTTTCTTGTGTTTAATATCGCTACACATATGTAAGTAGCATATAGTTGTTTTTGAAAAATCTAATTTGGCAATATTTATTTTGTAAATGCTTTAACACAATTGCTGATATTTTAGGTTTATACCTATCGTCTTATTGTATTTTTATTTTCCCATATGTACTTGATTCATTTTTGCTTTTAGAACAGTTGAATATCTTTTATTATTCCTTTTCTTTTCTCCATTGTTTGGAAGTTTTTCCTGTCTTATCATCCTTCCAGTGATTGCTTTACAGATCGCAACATGCCCCTTCCCTTAACAAAGCTGAAAATTAATTGCTAAAAATTGACAAATGGGAACTAATTAATCTAAAGAGCTTTCGCACAGCAAAAGAAACTATCAATAGTGTAAACAGACAACCTACAGAATGAGAGAAAATATTTGCAAGGAGAGCAGAAGAAACTCGAGGAGCTAAAAGTGAAAGCTGCAGGGAAGGGGCCCCTGGCTAGAGGTCAAATTAAGAAATCTGGCAAAAAGTAAGCTGTTCCTTGTGCCTGAGGAGTTGGTGACTCTTGATTTCATTTGTACTTAAACACCTGTATTCCCCGCCATAACATCTTTTGCCACCTATAGCTGGAATGAAGTGTTGTCTCGGAACTGGTGTAAATATAAGAATAAACTTTTGTACTAAAAAAACCACAATGATATACCATCTGACACCGGTCACTGTGGTTATTATTAAAACATTAAAAAATAACACATGCTGGCGAGGCTGTGGAGAAAAGGAAACACTTATACACTGCTGGTAGGAGTGTAAATCAGTTCAGCCACTGTGGAAAACAGTGTGGTGCTTCCTTAAAGACCTAAAACAGCATTTCCATTGACCCAGCAATCCCATTACTGGGTATATACCCAAAGGAATATAAATTGCTCTACCATAAAGACACATGCATATGTATGTTCATTGCAGCACTATTCACAATAGCAAAGACATGGAATTAACCTAAATGCCCATCAATGGCGGACTGGCTTTTAAAAATGTGTATGTGGTACATATACACCCTGGAATACTACGCAGCCATAAAAAAGAATAAGATCATGTCCTCTGCAGCAACGTGGATGCAACTGGAGACCATTATCCTTAGCAAACTAATGCAGGAACAGAAAACCAAATACAGCTGTTCCCACTTATAAGTGGGAATTAAATGATGAGAACACATGGACACGAAGAAGGGAATAACACACACTGGGGCCTACTTGAGGGTGGAGGGTGGGAGAAAAAAACGGGATAAGGAAAAATACCTGTAGGGTACTATGCATATTACCCGGGTGATGAAATAATCTGTACACCAAACCCGTGTGACATGAGTTTACCTATATAACAAACCTGCGCATATGCCCCGGAACCTAAAAGTTTAACAGATCCTGAAAGAAACTGCTACTTTTAATCCATTTATTCCCTCTCAATTTGTATGCTATTATCTTGTATCTTAAACACACACACACACACACACACACACACACACACACACACACACTTTTATGCCACATGAGACAGCACTATTGTTTTGTGGCTCCATTTTTATAAAGCTATGTTGTCTTCTTCAAAAAAGTTAAAATTCATCTTTACATAATACAGACTAGATCTAGAAATTAATATACTTTTACTCTTTGTACCTGAGCAAAACAGAACACTAGAAATAAAGGACGCTAAATAGCATAATAGAAAGTCTGTATGTATGTGATTTCACAAGTAAACAATTAGACACATCCCTGAAAACACTGTAACTGTAAGAAAGCAACATTTTTTCTTCTGATGTCTGCCCAAGCCCACCTTCCGGAATCCATTCATTAAACAGCTTTATGTCAACTTTGACTTCCTCCAGTTATCTCTGACACTAATGACGAAATTTTTCTTTGACTTTTATCAAGGTAAAATTCATTTTAAGAAATGACCACTGATTTGTTTAAGATATTCCAGCATGGGGGAGGAGGGCAAAATATACATTTATAAATGAATAAGTCTTAGTTATAACTTTATTAGCTTTTGACTCAAGTTTAAGTCAAAAAAAGTTGATTTTATCAACTTTTATTAAAATTGGGAAATAGGCATGTGGCATTTGATTATACATATCTTTATTTTTGTGTATGTTTGAATTTTTCTTTAATATAAAGTAAAAAATAGTGGCTTTTTTAGTTTTTTAGCTTTTTTAAATGAAATTTAATTTTTTAATTGATATGTAATAGATATACCTACTTTTAGAAAAACATCAGGCCGGGCGTGGTGGCTCATACCTGTAATCTCAGCACCTGGGAGGCTGAGGCGGGTGGATCATGAGGTTAGGAGTTCAAGACCAGCCTGGCCAACATGATGAAACCCCGTCTCTACTAAAACTACAAAAATTAGCCAGGTGTGGTGGTGAACACCTATAACCCCAGCTACTCAGGAGGCTGAGGCAGGAGAATCACTTGAACCCGAGAGGTGGAGACTGCAGTGAGCCCAGATTGTCCCACTGCACTCCAGCCTGGGTGACAGAGAGAGACTCCGACTCAAAAAAAAAAAAAAAAAAGAAAGAAAGAAAGAAAGAAAATCAGTGTATTTTTTGCCTATCACATCTGCAGAGTATTTGTCCCTTACTTAGAGATCTCAGTAAGAAATATTTATTACAACACATAAAATGCATTATTCACTCATCAAAGTTGTCAGATAATTTGCTACAGTTTTTTTCCTTGGGTAGCATTAGGGGTTCCTTGAGGATTTCAAACTTGAAAAACACATGTTTTATGGCAGCAATTTTATTCACTTTATTATTTTTTCCAACTTTTCCCTCCCTTCCTCTCATAATAACGTTTATTGATCAGGCACTGTGCTAGCTACTTTATGTTTGTAATCTGCTTTAATCATTCCTGCAAGGTAGCAGGTATCAGCACCTCTCATTTGGAGAGTAGTACGAGATGGGAAAAGAGAGCAATACTCTGGGGGAGGCATATCAGATAACAGTGTAGTTTGAAAAAGCACGTGTAATAATATAATAAAAACGGTCACACAACATAGAGTTGATCAAATATTCACTACTAGTAGGAATATACTAAAGACATATTTTTCTACCCCAGACATTAGAATCTCAAGGGGAGTGGGAAGTGATTATTTGAAAAGTTGATCAGTTTTTATAGGTAGAAGGCTTTTGTTTATTTACTTTGCGATGTGGTTGTTTCTTGCCTTTTCTCTCCGAATTCCCTTGCAGTATGGGCTGGTTACACTGTGTTCCACCTGCATGATGACTGTGAAGCTTAGAAGTCACAGAGTTCTGTGGTTGTTGTTTAGGATCACTGTTATGTAGTATTGACATTTGATTATTATTTTGTGACAAGAGTCTCACTCTGTTACCCAGGCTGGAGTGCAATGGCATGATCTTGGATCACTACAGCCTCCACCTCCTGGGTTCAAGCGATTCTCCTGCCTCAGCCTCCTGAGTAGCTGGGACTACATGCACGTGCCACCACACCTGGCTAATTTTTGTATTTATAGTAGAGATCGGTTTTCACCATGTTCGCCAGGCTGGTCTCGAACTCCTGACCACAAGGGATCTGTCCACCTTGGCCTCCCAAAGTGCTGGGATTACAGGTGTGAGCCACCACACCCAGCCTGCTATTGACATTTTATATTCTAATATATGTGTTTTAATTTAATTCAGCTCTTATAAGAACCTGATGAGTGAGATGATCTTAATCCCATTATACATAGAACAAAATGGAGATGCTAGAGGTAACTTGCCCACATTTACTATCCAGGCTACTGTTGTAAGTTTAATTAAGTGCTTCAGAACTTTTTCTGTTCACTCCTGTGTGAAAGTGTGTGTCCTTGGGCTGTATGTCTCATGCAGAGCATAATTTCAGAGGAGGCGGTATTCACTGATGAAGTCCTGGGCAGCTTTGAACACAGCCTAGAGTATTTAAATTGTGGCCACACACAGTGTGACATCACTCTAGTGATCATCTTTGAACTGAATGAGAAGAGTGTTTCCTCTTTACCCTACATGCATTCATTTTCATGTTTATTAGCCCAGGCGAAAAACTTTCCTGAGGACTGACTCTGAAAACCGATTTAATACTTCTTTCAGCTGCTTTCCTCTTTCAGCTGTGGACCTAGAAGCCATGAGCAGCTGCTCTCCAGGACGTGGTGGTGATACCCACTGCTGAAATAGCATGTGGAGCACTGATGCAGGAGGCCAGTTTTATGCCTTCTGTCTTGGACAAAGAAAGCAAGCTGGCCCTGACATCCAGTTGTCATACTTTAAGAATAAAAAATAAATAAGTAAATATATAGATAGGTAATAAACAGGGCCAGGCATGGTGACTCATGCCTGTAATCCCAGCGCTTTGGGAGGCCGAGGTGGGTGGATAACCTGAGATCAGGAGTTCCAGACCAGCCTGGCCAACACAGTGAAACCCCATCTCTACTAAAAATACAAAAATTAGCTGGGTGTGGTGGCACATGCCTGTAATCCCAGCTACACGGGAGGCTGAGGCAGGAGAATCTCTTGAACCAGGAGGCAGAGTCTGCAGTGAGCTGAGATCACACCACTGTGCTTCTGCTGAGTGACAGAGCAAGACTGTCCAAAAAAAAAAGAAAAAAAAGAAAAAAAAGATAAGCAATAAATATACTGATACCCTGTATAATAATACATATTTTAGAACTATGGATCAAATATTAAAGTCTTCCACATTCATACAATATCCTTAATTAAGATCAGGCTCAAGTGAGCATTTCTGACCTGTATGTAATTAAATGCTGACTGAATTGAATATGTCTACAGTATGAGAAGAACACAACAAAATAATAGGTTTTATAGACTGCCTTTGATTTTCACTTAGTGGTGTTTTTAGTTTAATAAAACCTCTGAAGTTTTTTATAAAAACTTTTATGTATACAAGCCTGTTTCTTTTTCTAAGATTTTTGCATTTCACAAGAGAAAATTCCATTCTTAACATTAATGCCATCCCCATCAAGCTACCAATGACTTTCTTCACAGAATTGGAAAAAACTACTTTAAAGTTCATATGGAACCAAAAAAGAGCCCGCATCGCCAAGTCAATCCTAAGCCAAAAGAACAAAGCTGGAGGCATCACGCTACCTGACTTCAAACTATACTACAAGGCTACAGTAACCAAAACAGCATGGTACTGGTACCAAAACAGAGATATAGATCGATGGAACAGAACAGAGCCCTCAGAAATAACGCCGCATATCTACAACTATCTGATCTTTGACAAACCTGAGAAAAAGCAATGGGGAAAGGATTCCCTATTTAATAAATGGTGCTGGGAAAACTGGCTAGCCATATGTAGAAAGCTGAAACTGGATCCCTTCCTTACACCTTATACAAAAATTAATTCAAGATGGATTAAAGACTTAAACATTAGACCTAAAACCATAAAAACCCTAGAAGAAGACCTAGGCATTACCATTTAGGACATAGGCATGGGCAAGGACTTCATGTCTAAAACACAAAAAGCAATGGCAACAAAAGCCAAAATTGACAAATGGGATCTAATTAAACTAAAGAGCTTCTGCACAGCAAAAGAAACTACCATCAGAGTGAACAGGCAACCTACAAAATGGGAGAAAATTTTCGCAACCTACTCATCTGACAAAGGGCTAATATCCAGAATCTACAATGAACTCAAACAAATTTACAAGAAAAAAACAAACAACCCCATCAAAAAGTGGGCAAAGGATATGAACAGACACTTCTCAAAAGAAGACATTTATGCAGCCAACAGACACATGAAAAAATGCTCATCATCACTGGCCATCACAGAAATGCAAATCAAAACCACAATGAGATACCATCTCACACCAGTTAGAATGGCGATCATTAAAAAGTCAGGAAACTACAGGTGCTGGAGCGGATGGGGAGAAATAGGAACACTTTTCCACTGTTGGTGGGACTGTCAACTAGTTCAACCATTGTGGAAGTCAGTGTGGCGATTCCTCAGGGATCTAGAACTACAAATACCATGTGACCCAGCCATCCCATTACTGGGTATATACCCAATGGACTATAAATCATGCTGCTATAAAGACACATGCACACCTATGTTTATTGCGGCACTATGCACAATAGCAAAGACTTGGAACCAACCCAAATGTCCAACAATGATAGACTGGATTAAGAAAATGTGGCACATATACACCATGGAATACTATGCAGCCATAAAAAAGGATGAGTTCATGTCCTTTGTAGGGACATGGATGAAATTGGAAATCATCATTCTCAGTAAACTATCGCAAGGACAAAAAACCAAACACTGCATGTTCTCACCCATAGATGGGAATTGAACAACGAGAACACATGGACACAGGAAGGGGAACATCACACTCTGGGGACTGTTGTGGGGTGGGGGAAGGGGGGAGGGATAGCATTAGGAGATATACCTAATGCTAAATGATGAGTTAATGGGTGCAGCACACCAGCATGGCACATGTATACATATGTAACTAACCTGCACATTGTGCACATGTACCCTAAAACTTAAAGTATAATAATAATAAAAAATAAAATAAAATAAACAACAACAACAACAAAAGATTTTCCAGATGTTAAGATCTAATGAATTAGAATTTTTTTTTTTTTTTTTTTTTTTTTTTGAGACAGGGTCTCTCAGTCTGTTGCCCAGGTTGGAGTGCAGTGATGCAATCACGGCTCACTGTAGCCTTGACCTCCTGGGCTCAAGCAATCCTCCACCTCAGCCACTCAAGTAGGTAGCACCACAGGTGTGTGCCACCACACCTGGCTAATTTTTAAAAATTTTTTTGTAGAGATGGGGTTTCCCTGTGTTGGTCAAGCTGGTCTCCAACTCCTGGGCTCAAGTGATGCTCACACCTCGACCTCCTGTAGCTACTTGGGAGGCAAGGCAGGAAGACTGCTTGAGCCTGGGAGGCAGGGGTTGCAGTGAGCTGAGATCGTACCACTGCACTCCAACCTGGGTGAGAGAGTGAGACTCTGTCTAAAAAAAAAAATTTATATATATATGTATATAATCTGATATATATATATATAATATATATATATATATCACATACTTTTCAAAAACATACAGAACCAGGTCCTTAAAGAGACAGTCCTTCTATCATGTAATTCCTGTGAAAAACGGGATATTGTAATAATGCTACCTGTAAACCTGCTTTTTTTTTTTTTTTTTTTTTTTCGAGATGGACTTTCACTCTTGGGGTCACCCAGGCTGGAGTGCAATGGTACGATCTCAGCTCACTACAACCTCCGCCTCCTGGGTTCAAGCGATTCTCCTGCCTTAGTCTCCTGAGTAGCTGGGATACAGGTGCCTGCCACCACACCCAGCTAATTTTTGTATTTTTAGTAGAGACAGGGTTTCATCATGTTGGCCGAGCTGGTCTTGAACTCCTGACCTCAGGTGATCCATCTGCCTCGGCCTCCCAAAGTGCTGGGATTACAGGCATGAGCCACCACACCCGGCCTAAACCTGCTATTTTTAAAAACAAAAATATACACGGTTGCATGCATCTCCATCACGTCCTCTTTCAAACCTGTGGATCCTGTGGCTTAAGTAGACATCCTAACTGTTACTGGCTTGATGTGTAGCCCCCTGGAGCCAGATCCTTACTGGGGTATGATTAGGGCTGAATGGAATTGGGACAACCGGATGGCCAGCCTGCTTTGTGTTCACTGGAGGTGGGGGAGTGCCGACCCACTGGTGTGGCACAGCAGAGCAAGGCTGAGGCTTATCACAAAACGTGATTATTAACCAGTAGTGCACGGAGCTGCACTGGGCATTTTCTTTGAAGAGTGACTACTTTAGTGATGTGTCTGTAGGGGAGAGGGTGAGGTGGCATAGCCTCAGTGATTTAAATCTTTTTAGTCACGTATATGATCTCTGCCTATGATGACAATTAGGATTTCTCAGATTTTCTTCTTACTCTGATGTTTAGCACCAGGACCAAGTCGTATCTGTTGAGTCCACTTGTGATGGTGGAGGTCTGTTATCTCCATATAGAGAGTTTAATGGCCCTGTAGACACAATATAAAGCATGGCCCTTGAGCAGGAGACTTAAGGTTGGCTGGGCACGGTGGCTCACACCTGTAATCCCAGTACTTTGGGAGGCTGAGGCAGGTGATCACTTGAGGTCAGGGGTTTGAGACCAGCCTGGCCAACATGGTAAAACTCTGTCTCTACTAAAAATACAAAAATTAGCCGGGCATGGTGGCAGGTACCTGCAATCCCAGCTACTTGGGAGGCTGAGGCAGGAGAATCGCTTGAACCCTGGGGGTGGAGGTTGAAGTAAGTTGAGAGACGCCACTGCACTCCAGCCTGGGCAACAGAGTGAGACTCTGTCTTAAAAAAAAAAAAAAAAGAATATTCAGGCAGAGGCAGCAGGAATGTGTATGTTTCTCTTGTTGGATTCATCGTCTTCTCTCCCAGCTAAGGAGCTGCATGGGAGTAATTGTGCTGGTTTCTGTTAGATGGATACCTGCATGTTCTCAGATGGAGCAGAGATCAGACCCTCTTCTCACTAATACGTCATCCAAATTGCTAGCAGTTTCAGCAGTGGTCCAGAAAATGGTCAAATCTCTGTTTGATGAGTAAGGTCAAGGAGTTTCCCCTTGGAGTTACAGGGGATCATCTCAAGACCAGGAGCCTCTGCACAGGAGACACAAGCATCCCGTGAACATGGAGGACAACACATGGCTTCAAATCATGCTTCGCCATGTATGCAGAATCTCTCTAAGATTTCTGTTTCAAATTCGCAGATCACCACGCTAGTCCCTAAGGGCATAGCTACTTCTGGTTAGTGAGAGTGAAGGAGGTAGAGGTCAAAAGCATAGATTGCTTCCAGAACTGCAGTCCCTAAACAGAATATTCAAATAGGGCTAAGGAGCCTCATTCTAAAGTCAGAAAGTGACTGTAATTTACCTGGTAATTAGATATGCTCAGAAGTAACTTCTGACTTTTCCCATCAATTTCTAGGCTCCCTTAACACCTGTAATAGCTGGACAAAGGAAGAAAGTCGTGCTGCCCTTGGTGGAAGTTTGGACCCATCCCCAGAGAACTGTATACGCTTCCTGCTTTCAAATAATATGTGTAATCCTATGGGGTCTGACTGGCAGACTTACTTTTTTTTCTGATTCAAAATGCCATTCCTGTATATTATTAAAATTTGGAAAGTACATAAAGATATAAAGAAATTTTAAAGCACCACACGATCCCACTACTAAGAGTTAGGGTCTAAAATAGTGTGGTCTGTCCTCCTGAGCTTTTTTCTAGGTGTAAATGAGCTAGCATCAGCTGCACTCAGAGCCCATAAACCCAGGTTCACTTTCAAAGTCGTGTTCAGGAACTTCTCCTTGCATTCTACCTGATGGGGATCAGATCTTTTCGACCTACCAGTTATACACACACACACATAAATACACACACTCAGAAGTTCTTGATGTTAGATTAAAAAAAAAAAGACCCTGATGGCTTGAAGAATTGACATACCACAAAAATGTACGATGCACTTTTATGGGGTACACAGAGGTGAAGTTTGTCTTATAAATAGATGGTGGATCCAAGGATTAATTTACAGAAAAAAAGCTTTGGAAACTTTTAATAAATATACAGCAATTTCAAAACATTACACTTTATACAACTTTTATTTTTTTTTTTAATAGAGACAAGGTCTCACTATGTTGCCCAGGCTGGTCTCAAACTCCTGATCTCAAGTGATCCTCCTGCCTCGGACCTCCAAAGTGCTAGGATTGCAGGCGTGAGCCACCACACCCAGCCAACTTTTACAACTTTTAAAGAGAGAAATTACGAAATGTAATTAAAGTTCTGAATAAATGCCCCAAGAATAATGAGATCCTGAAGTCTCTTTCACCTGAGCCTTCAAAGGCATGAAGCACAATGACAAAAGTAGGGATGAACATATGAGGAAAAAAGAAAAAAAAAATAAGTTGTGCCTCTATAAAAGCCACCCACCAAACACAGGACAAACATGAAAGTAGATGATGACAGACTAACACTTCAGTACAAAAAGAGATGCTTTATAGGACCTTAAACTATCTCCACTCAATATTTTTCATGAGGATGCTGTACTTATTACCGATACATCTGACTTTGTTACTTCTTTGCATTTCTGCTGCATTTCAATCTGAGAAAGTCATAAATTCTTGAAGCTCTTAGTATTTTTTCTCTCCCTTCTGGGAAGGTTAGAAAGATGACAATGATAAATGCATAAATAACCAGCAGGGAGGGAAGGTGCATCATTACATTTAGAAACACCTGACTGTCCTAGCTTTTTATTATTTTAAGAAAGAGGAAGGTTATTAAAGGATATTTTAGAACTACAGAAAAATCAATAATAATAAAAACTAGTATCTGTATGTGATGTTAGAGTTCACAAGCACTATCATCAATTTCCATTTAATTCTTGTATTAGTCCGTTCTCACACTGCTATAAAGAGTATTACCCAAGAGTGGGAAATTATGAAGGAAAGAGGTTTCGTTGACTCACAGCTCTGCAGGCGTTAACGGGAAGCATGGCTAAGAGGTCTCAGGAAACTTAAAACCACGGCGGAAGGCAAAAGGGAAGCAGGCACCTTTCACCCGATGGTTTTAAAGCCATCAGCTCTCATGAGAACTAACTCACTATTATGAGAACAGCATGGGGAAACCACCTCCAAGATCCATGAACCACCCCCAGGATCCAATCACCTCCTACCTGGTCCCTCCACTGACATGTGGAGATTACAGTTTGAGATGAGATTGCGTTGGGGACTCGGTCCCAAACCATATCAATTCTTAAGCAATTTTGTGACACAGATTTTTTTTATTATCCCCACTTTATAATTTACTAAACTCATTGAAGTACATAAAGACATCATACAGCCATCGGGGGATAACTCAGTAGGCTTCTTGGTCTAATTCTGTGATCCTCAACCAGGAGTGATCTCTCCACCTCTAGCAGACATCGGCAGTGTCTGGAGACATTTTTGGTTGTTACCACTAGGTAGTGCTATTGGCATCTAGTGGGTGAGACCAGGGATACTGCTAAACAATGCACACGACAGCCCGTCACAACAAAGGCTCATCCAGTCGGAGTGTCAGTAGTGTTGAGATTCAGAAACACTGGTATGTTCTACACTTTCATTAGGGTCCTGATGAAACTCTTAAAACTTGGTGTGGCGGTTTGTCTAAACAGCATCCTTTCTCTCATTGTTCTTGCTGTCAGAACCTCATTTTATTCAGGGAAGGGCACCCTAATCTCAGTTTAGGAGTAAATATTGGTTAGACTAGATTAATCATGGTAATCCCATTTCCTGTCAGCAGTTGATTATCAGGGATGGGCATGTGACCTGGTTCTGACCAATAAGACACGAAGGGGGATCTGCTAGAGGGATGGGTTCTGGGAAGTATGTTTATACTTTTTTTTTTTTTTTGAGATGTTGAAATTATTTTTAGGAAGGCTAAGAACTAAAATCATTTATATATGTATGATGAGACAACAAGGGATGCCAAAACAATTTAGAAAGAATATACTTACTAAAATTGCTAGCAAAGGCAAAAAATAAATTAAAAAGTAAACCCAAAACAAATTTTAGAGATACCATGCCTTATAGAACTTCTAGAATTGATACATTTTAAATTTATGGACCATTTCCTTGAATTGAAATTAACAGCAGAGACTTTCCAATCTAGGCAAAAAAAAATCTGCTTTTCTTCCTCCAGAATCAGAGAAATCAATGAAGTGAAACATGAAAGATTCATGTGAGGTGCCCTCTACTGAAAGCATAAATTTTGATGCAATCAGAGAAAAACATTATGAGAGAGGATGATCATTAAGTTAATATCTTCCAATTACCTACACTTGTCCCTCAGGGTAAGTCACTGAGTTATGAATGGTGTTTGTTCAACTACAATAGTCCTTCCTAACCACATAAGATTCTTAAATCCCCTTCTATCAGAGAATAACTCTTGTAGTAAATTAGGATTCCTAAAGGGAGTATCAAGAGCTCTCAGTAGTGTTGAGGTTAAATCACTCTTTCCAGCAATAAACACTATTTCTGAAAAGTAAAACTGAAATCGAACTTGTGTCAGTTAAGTGTCATTGCAAAGTTTTAAACTGTGCTCAGTGTATAAAGGTTTTATTTTTCCCCAGTAGTACTGAAGTATAATTGACAAACAAAAATTGTATATATTTAAGGTGTAACATGTGATGTTTTGACACATATATGCATTGTGAAATGATTACCATAATAAAGCTAAGTAGCATATCCATCACCTCACATGGTGACCATTTCCTTTTGTAGTGAGAACACCACACAGTGAAATGGTCACTTCTGTGGGCTGCCTTTTTGGTGATGGAAGCTCAGCTTGCAGCAGATGTGAAAGTAAAACAACTTGAGTAGGACTTGCAATTAGAGAAAAAAACTTTTCTGAGCTCTATGTTCAGAAGTCAGCTTAATTAAAAAGCTGATATTCAGGATATAGTGTTTTCTCTTTTTTTTGGAAAAAAAAGGGCCTTCTGCTTTTAGTCAACTGAAATCTCCTTTAAGACCTTTTTTTTGGCCTGGTGATGTGGCTCACGACTGTAATTCCAGCACTTTGGGAGGCCAAGGCAGGTGGATTACTTGAGGTCAGGAGTTCGAAACCAGCCTGACCAACATAGTAAAACCCTGTCTCTACTAAAAATACAAACATTAGCCAGGTGTGGTGGCGCACATCTATAGTCTCAGCTACTTGGGAGGCTGAGACAGGAGAATCGTTTGAACCCAGGAGGTGGAGTTTGCAGTGAGCCGAGACTGCAACACTGCACTCCAGCCTGGGCGACAAAACAAGAAAGACTCTGTCTCAAAAAAAAAAAAAAAAAAAAATTTTTTTGTTTGGCGCCTTTCTTGTTGGCGTGATTTTTGCCTCTGTAACTTGTTCTTCCATTTCCTTCCATGCCTGTTCTTCCTTCCTTTTGCCATCTTTGATATCACACGAAAAAAATCTAGGGGAGACGTCTAGAGACCCTGAGACCCCTTAAGGAACAGAGAAAAATGTGCCATCCGTCCCCTTTAAGGAGTCTTCTGCCTTCCTTGCGGAGTTCCAAGAATCATTGGAAGGTTTGCCTTCAGTCTAAAGTTCTGCTCTCTCTTGAATTGAGTTCCCTGAACTCTTTGGCTTTTGGGAGTAGTACCAGGAATTGCTTTGGACTCAGAGAACATGACCTTTGAGTGTGTGATGGCTGATAAGTCACTGGTGACGGCTGCAGTTTTGGAAGTAGCTCATAGCATTTACAATGAGTGGTTATTACAGCTGGGGGCTACTCGTTTCTTTGTGCATTTAGGTAAGAAAAGCATGATCTGCAAGCAAAAAACAAACAGCCACATTAAAAGATGGGAAAAGGATATGAACAGACACTTTTCAAAAGAAGACATACACATGGCCAACAAGTATATGAAAAAATGCTCAACATCACTAATCAGAGAAGTACAAATTAAAACCACAATGAGATACCATCCCCCACCAGTCAGAATGGCTAATATTAAAATGTCAAAAAGTAACAGATGCTGGTGAGGTTGTGGAGAAAAGGTAACACTTATCAGGTTGTGGAGAAAAGGTAGCACTGATTCACTGCTGGTGGGAATGTAAGTTAGTTCAGTCACTGTAGAAAACAGCCTGGTGATTGCTCAAACAATTTAAAACAAAATGACCATTTGACCCAGCAATCCTATTATTGGGTGTATACCCAAAGGAATATAAATTATTCTACCATAAAGACACATGCATGCACGTGTTCATTGCAGCACTATTCGCAATAGCAAAGATATGGAATCAACCTAGGTGCCCATCAATGATAGACTGGATTAAAAAAAAATATACAAAATGGAATACTATGCAGCCATAAAAAAGAACAAGATCATGTCCTTTGCAGCAACATGGCTAGAGCTGGAGGCCATTGTCCTAAGCAAACTAACACAGGAACAGAAAACATAATACCACATGTTCTCACTTATAAGTTGGCACTAAACATTGAGTACACATGGACACATAAAAGGGAACAACAGACACCGGGATCTACTTAAGGGTAAAGGGTGGGAGGATGGTAAGGATTGAAAAACTACCTCTCAAGTACTATGCTTATTACCTGGGTGATGAACTAACCTGTACACCAAACCCCTGTGACGTGTAGTTTACCTATCTAACAAACCTGAACATACACCCAAAACATAAAAGTTAAAAAATAATAAAAAAACTAAACCACTGTACGGGATTGATTAATTAAGTAATATGTAGGTATCAGGCATACGTGATCAATCCCTTCATTTGTTTATATTGGAGGAAGGATGGGATCCAGCCCCATTCACCTAGGAGAACCGCAGAGGTAGCAACACTCAGGACCTTGATATTGGATCTCCTGGAAGTCCATTTGTAGTGAGGGTCTTCCCTTCAGGGTAAATATAATTTTTAGCTCTGAAGAAGGTTTAAGTTTTATATATAGTCTAGGCCATAGGTGCTGGAGACCATAACTAGTAAGGCTAAGCCTATGGTGGCTTTGCAGGCTGCGAAGGATAATGGGTAATATGGATGCTAAAATGAAATGTAAATTCAAGGTTATAAGGATGCTCATGATGAATACTGACAGCATTATGCCTTCTAGACATAGAAATGAGACATTAGATGAGATCGGTAAATTATTATTCCTGCTAGAGATGTAATGAAGGCCAAGGTGACATTAATATAGATAGAAGGCATTTAGTAATTATGAGTAATCATAATTTAATGAGTCAAAATCATTTGTTTTGGTTTAAACTCATTACCAATTCAACTCATTCTAGTCCATTTTGGATTCATTCATGGGCTAATCCTAGGGCTAAGACAGTAATTAAAATGAGTACTATAATAAGTACTAATTTTAGGCTGTTCATTCGGAAGGGAAGAGAAGACCCTCACTGCAATCAGGCATCCAGGACAGTGATCATATGGTCCCACACTACCTCTTCCTCCTCCCTGGGTCCTGCATTTAACTTCCTAATCTCTGCTGGTAGCAATATTAACTGAGTATTCAAGACTCTCAGGGCCCCTCTCAAAAAAAAAAGAAAAAAGAAAAGGAAGAAAAGCATGGTTTGGTCACCTGCAGGCTATAGAAATGCTTGCCAATGAGGGATAAGACTCCCAGAGGGGATGGGCTGACCAGCGTGGGCTGACTGGCATTGGGTTGGCCAGCAGCCTCAGGGGGCTATTCTGACAGTGGAGTACACTGTGGAAGCATCGCACTGGCTAGTCCCATGGTGCTTCCCTCTTTTTGGGGACCTAGGATTCAGTGTGAAAATGGGATTCTTGATTTCGGGGTATCTAAGTGCTCTACCTTCCAGCCGTGGCTGTTTTTCACACACATATGAAGCCCTGGAAGCTGCAAATGCTTTCCTTGCCCTTTTCATCAAAGGACTCCACCTTGAAGTCAGTAATCTCATGAATAAACAAGCTAAGTGGAAAAGACCACATATCAAGCTCAATCAGTTTCCAAAATACAACTTTCTGACATTTAGTTGGCCATTTTGAAACTCTTTGTAAATAAAATTTATGTCTATAAAAGAAATCCCCATTTGTAAGCGCATCTCTCTCTCTGCTCCTAAACCATTAGAAATTGTAGGATGAAGACATTGACTTAATATTTACATAACAAACCTTATCTTTGTGTAAGATATTTTTCCTGGCAAGCTTGTCTTGACTGGGCCTTTACCTGTGTCCTTCTTTGCCTCAGCAAATAATGGTTTTAAACCTAAGTTCTGTGCCTTTGAGATACAAACTTTAATCTGCGAGTCATGTCTATGGAAGTACAAATTTAGGGTTACCTAGCTAACAATTATTTTGGGGAACTGAACGGGCAATCAAGAGATTGATCGTCTAAAGCGCGAAGGGAAACTATTTGAAAACTGTCAAATGAAGACCCTTATAAAGCTATTGTGTCCGGAATTTATTCCTTCTGGTAGGTTCTTGGTCTCACTGACTTCAAGAATGAAGCTGCGGACCTTTGCGGTGAGTGTTACAGCTATTAAAGATGGTGTGTCTGGAGTTTGTTCCTCCAGATGTTCAGATGTGGCCTCTGGAGTTTCTTCCTTCCAGTGGGTTCATGGTCTCGCTGACTTCAGGAGTGAAGCTGTAGACCTTCGCAGTGAGCGTTACAGCTATTAAAGGTGGTGCGTCCGGAGTTGTTTGTCCCTCCTGGTGGGTTCGTGGTCTCGCTGACTTCAGGAATGAAGCGGCAGACCCTGGCGGTGAGTGTTACAGCTTACAAAGGTAGTGAGGACCCAAAGAGTGAGGAGCAGCAAGATTTATTGTGAAGAGTGAAAGAACAAAGCTTCCACAGCGTGGAAGGGGACCCCAGCAGGTTGCCACTGCTGGCTTGGGTGACCGGCTGTTATTCCCTTATTTGGTCCCACACACGTCCTGCTGATTGGTCCATTTTAGAGGCGCTGATTGGTCCATTTTATAGAGTACTGATTGGTCGATTTTACAGAGTACTGATTGGTGCGTTTACAATCCTTTAGCTAGACACAGAGCGAGATTGGTGTGCTTTTACAGAGTGCTGATTGGTGCATTTACAATCCTTTAGCTAGACACAAAAGTTCTCCAAGTCCTCACTCCACCCAGGATGTCCAGCTGGCTCCAGCTCTCACTATAAGATCTGCTTCTGTCATATGTCTGTATGTTTATACGCTTGTATGTATGTACATTTCACTACCCAAATATATGAAAGAGCTCTAATTAATTGGCTTAAAGAAAAAGTAAATGCTGAAATAAAATATGTCAGGAAAATAGAAATGACCTCAGATGCCTTTTATGTCATGTGTCTTTAGTAATTTTGGGCAAATAAAACTAGTTTTTACGTTGTTGGTAAAATAAAATAGAAATGTGTTCAGAATCATCAGAGTTAAATATAACTGAGGCATTTTCACCTAGATCTACTGGTAAGATAAGTTTAGGCTATCTCTCCTAGATTTTTAAGGTCACAAATGTTGCTTCTGTGACATTTTTGATACTTCTTTGACTTTTCTGTGAGCTTATGTTATGTCTTGGAGCCATTAGATTTCAGGCTCTAAACAAATGGCCACAGTGAGGCCTGGGGACATTTGTGGAGTTCTCACTGGCCCAGTTGTGCCTCCTGGCTATGCTGGGAAGGGACAGACATTATCCTCACAGCTCTGTCCTCCATTGTGAGCTCTATAATTGGTGTGTACATTTAAGACCCAAATGGGCCCTACCCTTTATAGCCGTCCTTGTGATATAGGAGTTAAGAAGAAATTACTTAGGCAGATAGTAAGGGTATGGGAGTCCTAGGTAAGGATTTCCTTTTTAGTGAAAAGCAGCCCCAAATCGTTTTCTAACAAAGAACAGCCTGCAGGCTGGGAGCTTGCACAGGTGAATGCTGGCAGGAAATATGGGCTAGACACGTTAAAGATGGTGGCTCCATCTTCCCTTCTCTGCCAGTCACCTGTACTGTAAAGGAGCAGACAAGATGGTGCCAATCAACTGGAAAGTCCACTTGCATAAGAAAATTAGGGTGGGGCAACCAGCCTTCCGCACGCACTATGTAGACGTCATACCTGATCTAACCAATTTGTGAGCCCTTTGTAAATCAGACACCACTTTCTCCTGCCTGCCTATAAAATTGGCTGCAGTCCGCTGCCTCCTTGACTTTTTGGATGTCTTTCTCTCTCTCTCTCTCTCTCTCGCAAAGAGCTGCTCTCCCATATCCTTTTTCTGTCTATTAAACTTTCCACTCCTTAACTCACCCACATGTATCTGTGTCCTGAATTCTTTCTCCACACACAACGAACGCCAGGGTATATACCCCAGAGAGTATACAGCCTTCACTTGGGTGTACATGGGTACTTGGGACCCAGGATGAGTAGGGAAGTCAGTAAGGAGTGTGTCATAGTTTCAAAATTCTTTTCAGTAACTTAAAATCTTAAAATCATGTTATGTTAAACTAAGTAATAGATAATCATGAAATATCTGAACCATTTAAGTAACTTTAAAAACTGAAACATTACTTATTAAACATAAGTTTAAGTTTATATACTTTGGCATTTTATTTTTAATATGATACAGAACAAAATATATTTCAATCTGTTAATATACAAAAAATTGAGGAAACATCTTTCTAAAAATTTTGATTTTTATCTACGAATACAGATATAGACAGTTCAAAATTACTTCCCATGTTTTTCACTGGAAATTAGTATTTCTAAGAGTTAAAATGGTAGTCAATATACATAATTAAAACTAATAGCCATAAGAGAATCAATTCTACATACAAAGTGTATAAAAAAAGTAAGATGTAATTTTGGTGAAGAATGTTATAAGACAGATATGAGGATGTTGTTTTAACTCTTAGAAATCCTTTTATCCTATTTGATGACCATGAAGTTTTGATTGCGGTGTAAAGTGGAATGAAGTGACTGACCTCATTTCTAGAAGATTCTAGTGGGCCAATGCTCAGCTCCCAACTTCTGGACTGTATGCTCTAACTATGGGGGACTTGCCTTGATCCCTGACTTTGTCCTCTGGCTCCTTGAGTTTAGGTATCCACTGTGTTGAGGGGGGTCGAGGTACTCCCGGACCATTGGTCACTACACTCCGATGGGTGGTGTCGGCCAAAGCATTTCATAGTGCGGTTACAGCAAGATCCATTCTTGCTCACACGTGCCAGCAGCAGTGGTAGTGGCAGCATGGTAGGTTGCACGCTTGTCAGCTGAGGCAGAGTGCTAGCAGGTGCCAGAGTGCCTGCCTCCCTTCATCATAGGGGTGGAGGCAATGCAGCTGTGGGGGTGGGAGCTTGGTGGAGAAGCCTGATTGCAATTGTGTGCATGGTCATACTGGTGGTGGTATTGGCTTGGGGGTAGGGTGCTGGCAGACAACACAGGTCTGTGTGCCTTCTCTGTGCCCTGTAACAGGAGTGGTTGTTCGGGGCAGGTGAGGATCCACTGTTCTCTGTGCCTAGTTTCACTCCCTCAGCAGTGTTAGCACAAGAGTGGGGCACTGGCGGGGGCAGGGCTGGCTGGCTCTGTGCCTGCCAAGTCTCCATCTGCAGTGATGGTTTGCGGAGGGAGGAGTGGCAGACTGTACTCCCGCCACAGCAGTGGCAGGGCACGGTGCACACATACTCGCCTGCTGGTGGATCAAGGAAAGCAAAATCTGCCCATTCAGACACATGCCAGCAAAGCAATGTGAGGAGTTGCACTGGGCCCTAGGGAAGCTGCAGTGTGGAGAGGGTGCATGCAGGCTGGTGCGTAGGCATGGGGGCCGCCATGCTAGAGCTCCTCGCAGGTTAGGTATAGTGTGCCAGTGCAGAAGCTATGATGTAGCTCCCAGGGCGCTGCAAGCAGGTGTGGCCAGGCTGGGGCCCTGGGAGAGGCCGGCAGACTGAGGGGTGCTCAGGTTGGACTGGCCCTATTTGATGGGCAAGACCACCCTGCAGAGTTCAGGACTGACAGTTCTCCAAGGGCTAAAGGCTCCTATGGGAGCAAGTGGAGCCTAGGGTGATGGCCATCCCTGGCCCTGCTCTGCTACAGATGCTCCAGGACCAAACCCTCTGGGCTCCACATCGGCTGGTTTGCTGCCTCCTATTTCTTCTCTAAGCAGCTCTCCCTGCCAACTTGTGTCTATGGTGGCTGAAGGGTCTCCTTCTGCTGGAGTTCCAGAGACTCGTGGTGAAAGTGAGTTGCTCCATACCAGTTCAACTCACCTGTTCCCCTGGAGCTGCTGGGGCACAGGGACAACACCAGGTATGCAGCAGACCCATGTAGGGTTCCCAGGTTTCCCCCTCTCAGTCCACCTTCTGTGTGTTCCCTCTGTTCACTTTCAGTGCCTTCCCTTTGAAGATCTTCTAGGAGTATACCAGTCATCTCGGTCCCTTGGTGGCAGCTGTTTTACGTGGCTGCATCTAGTCAGCCATCTTGCCCCCGCTCAAAAACTTCTTACTGTTAATGTGGGAAAAACTGAATGCTATTCCTCTAAGATCTTCACAAGGCAAAGATGCGCACTCTTGCCATTTCTATTGAATACAGGACTGTATGTATGAGCAAGAGCAATTAGTCGAGAAAAAAATAAAAAGTACACAAGCCCTTTTTTCATGTGTGTTGGCCGCATAAATATCTTCTTTTGAGAAGTGTCTGTTCATGTCCTTTGCCCACTTTTTAATGGGGTTGCTTGTTTTTTTCTGGTAAACTTGTTTAAGTTCCTTATAGACGCTGGATATTAGACCTTTGATGGATAGATTGCAAAAATTTTCTCCCATTCTGTAGGTTATTTGTTCACTCTGATGACAGTTTCTTTTGCTTTAATTAGAAATTATAGAAATTATAAATTACTTTGGGCAGTATGGCCATTTTCATGATATTAGATAGCTCTTTTGTTTAATTAGACCCCATTTGTCAGTTTTTGCTTTTGTTGCCATTGCTTTTGATGTTTTCATCATGAAATCTTTGCCCATGTCTATTTCCTGAATAGTGTTGCCTAGATTTTCTTCTAGGGTTTTTATAGTTTTGGGTTTTATATTTAAGTCTTTAATCCATCTTGACTTAATTTTTGTATAAGGCTTAAGGAAGGGGTCTAGTTTCATTTTTCTGTGTATGGCTAGCCAGTTCTCCCAGCACCATTTATTAAATAGGGAATTATTTCACCATTGCTTGTTTTTGTCAGGTTTGTTGAAGATTAGATGATTGTAGATGTGTGGTCTTATTTTTGAGTTTCTCTATTCTGTTACATTGGTCTATGTGTCCGTTTTTGTATCAGTACCACGCTGTTTTGGTTATTGTAACCTTGTAGTATGATTTGAAGGTGGGTAGTGGGATGCCTCCAGCTTTGTTCTTTTTGCTTAGCATTGTCTTAGCTATCCAGGCTCTTGTTTTGGTTCCATATGAATTTTAAAATAGTTTTTTTTTCTAATTCTTTGAAGAATGTCAGTATGTCAGTGGTAGCTTGATGAGAATAGCATAGAAATTATAAATTACTTTGGGCAGTATGGCCATTTTCACGATATTGATTCTTCCTATCCATGAGCTCACCATCACTGATCATTAGAGAAATGCAAGTCAAAACCACAGTGAGATACCATCTCTTGCCAGTCAGAATGGCGGTTATTAAAACATCAAGAAAAACAGATGCCAGTGAGGCTGCAGAGAGATAGGAATGCTTTTCCACTGTTGGTGGGAATGTAAGTTAGTTCAATCATTGTGGAAGATGGTGTGGCAATTCCTCAAAGTCCTAGAATCAGAAATACCATTTGACCCATCAATCCCATTCCTGGGTATATACCCAAAGGAATATAAATCATTCTATTATAAAGATACATGCACGTATATGTTCATTGAAGCACTATTCACAATAGCAAAGACATGGAATCAACCCAAATGCCTGTCATTGGCAGACTAAACAAAGAAACTGTGGTACATATAGACCATGGAATACTATGCAGCCATAAAAAGGAATCAGATCATGTCCTTTGCAGGGACACGGATGAAGCTGAAAGCCATTATCCTCAGTAAACTGACAAAGGAGCAGAAAACCAAACACTGCACGTTCTGACTCATAAGTGTGAGCTGAACAATGAGAAGACATGGACATAGGGAGGGGAGCAAGACACACTGGGGCCCGTTGGGGTGAGGAGGGTGGGGGTATGGGGAGGGAGCGCATCAGGAAAAATAGCTAATGCATGATGGGCTTAATACTTAGATGATAGGTTGATAGGTGCAGCAAACCACCATGGCACACATTGACCTACGTAATAAACCTGCACATCCTACACATGTACCCCAGGGCTTAAAATAAACAGAAACAGAAACAAAAAAAAAGGAAGTAAAAAATAAGCCTAAAAGGAAAAAGTAAAATTTTTTCTATTTGCCGATGACGTGATCCTACATAGAGAAAACTCAAAACACGTCATAAAAATTGTTAAATCCAGTAAAGTAGCAGGATACAGAATCAACATACAAAAATCAGTTGCATTTCTTTACACCAGTAATGATCTATCTGAAAAAGAAATCAGGAAAACACAATCCATCATAATAGCATCAAAAAGAATAAAATAGAGGGTGGAACAAGGTGGCCAAATAGAACCTTCCAGTACTCATTCCCCTGCAGGGACATCAAGTTCAACAAATATCCTCACGAGCCCAGGCGGCACAGTGTGAAGACAGAGTCTACCTCCTTAGGAAGTAAAAGGAATGTTAGTGTGGGATTTTGCATTGGAGGCTAGTGCTGACCCCACTGCAGTGGAACACAGCACTGGGCAGAGCCTCCAAGGCCCTTGATTCTAGGCTGGAGGCCACAGAGGGAGCATTTAGACCCCCGCCCCGGGTCAGAGGGAAATCTGCTACCTCAGCAGGAGGAATCCAAGTTCCAGTCCACTTCACAACCACCTAACTAAAGTGGCCTTCCGCCAGACCCTAAAACAAAGATTTGCATTCAGGTAGATTATTTGGAAGATGATTTAAGGACGTACCAGTGCAGGAGTTGTCGCGGGACAGTGAGACCAGGGCAGTTTGACAATCAATAAAGGGTGCATCATTGGCAAGCTACCTGTGAACAAAGGGAGCATAATTCCACTGGACAACACCAGGAGGCAGTGTTATACAAGCCTAAGGGTAATTCCACCTGACCAGGTACAGCACAAAGATATGTGGCCTCCAACTCCCAACATCCTGGGCTGAATAGTGGTCCCAGACCCATAGTTTTCAAGTCTATCTAGCCTGCCTGAGGACATGCCAAGAGAAAGCCTTCGCATAGAGTCCCGAGTTCACGTGGCAGGACGCCAGAGGCATGTTCTAGAACAGTAGGTGCCGAAGGCACAGCACAAGGAAACACTCACTGGTGGAATGTTCTCAAAACAAAGAAATGATAAATGTTTGAAGTGATAGATGTGCTAATTATCATGATTTGATCATTACACAATGTATGTATGTATAAGAACACCACATTGTACCCTGTAAACATGTATATTGGGTCAATAAAGAAACAAAAATTATGTTGTATAGAGAAAAATGCATAAGAAACAGCAAGAGTTGTAGATCAATACCATGAATGTAAATAAAAAACACCAGCATAAACAAAGCCATATGACATATATCACCCTCATACCACACACATGGGGCTCTTTCAGACACATTGCCCAGTGCCTTCAGGTAGAGAGGCCAGTGGGAATGAGGATGATGGATGAAGGGAAGAAAAATTTTTAAAAGAAGTCTAATGGGAACTGATGAAGAAAGTATACCATAAACTTGGAGTGTGATTAAAGCCTTCCATCTTCCTCTTTTGCCTCCTCTAGGTTACCAGTTCTGCTTTTCCTGGACCTGTTCCAAGCTCTCACGTTCCACATCACACATGGGACATCTAGTGTCAGGCTCCCAGAGAGCAGGAACCAGGTGAAATATAAGAGCACAGTCCTCCCAGCCGGTGGCATGGGGATAATCGGACAATACAACTCTCCACCCTTTTTTATGGTAAGATATGAATAAGGGGTCCACAGGAGCAACCTGAGTCCCTGCAACTACATTTCCCAGGGGCCCCTGGGGTAACCCTAATGTGACTCTGGGGGCGGGGCCAGTTGGACATCCAATGAGAGCACTTCCCCTGCAGACTTTGGAAGTGAGAGCACTTCCTCATAGACCTTGGATGTGGGAGGATTGCATTCAGTCTAGTTCCTGGTTGCCGGCTGAAATAACCTGGTAAGTGGAACTCTGTAAGGGGCTTTGAAATTGGGGTTTAATCCTATCTCAACTGTGAGTACAGGAGAGTAGGTTCTACACGATGTCTACATTTCAAGTATAAGGTTGCTCAGAAAGTGTGGCTGGCACATACTTGGAAGCTAATGCTGTCACTACTCCACAGCTTAGTGGTGACAGTTACAGGTCCTTGATTCAAACTGTTGGGTTTACAGTCACAGCCACTTTATAGCTGTGAGAACTTGGCCTAGTCACTTAGTTTCCCTAAAACTCAGTTTCTTTTTCAGTAAAATGGAGCTACGAGTACTGCTTACTTAAAGGACTTGTTGTGAGGATTACATACGTGTATTAAAAGATAACTAATGTGTTTAAGGCAACTTTCTCAACAGGATTTCCCTCTTGGTTACTTGTAACAGTGACGCTCACCCTCCTCTGTCCCCAGTGGTGTGTGTCCCAAAGGACCCAGTTAATCCTACAGGCAGCAAGCTCGTAATAATTCCTGCTCCTCTTGCACTAGCTGATAAAAAGCCCCTAATGATCCTGGATGTCCAGGAAGATTGAATTCTGTTGTTTGCAATGCCTATGGGAATTCCAGAGGGAAGTTTTTGTTTTTTTGAGGCAGAGCCTTGCCCCATTGCCCAGGCTGGAGTGCAGTGGCGTGATCTCAGCTTAGTGCATCCTCCTCCTCCTGAGTTCAAGTGATTCTCCTGCCTCAGCCTCCTGAGTAGCTGTGATTACAGGCACCCGCCACCATGCCTGGCTAATTTTTCTATTTTTAGTAGAGATGGGGTTAATTTTTGTATTTTTAGTAGCGATGGGGTTTCACCGTCTTGGCTAGGCTCATCTCGAACTCCTGACCTCAAGTGATCCACCTGCCTCGGCCTCCCAAAGTGCTGGGATTACAGGCGTGAGCCACCACACTAGGGACGAAGTTTTATTATGGCCGAAGGACACTTACTGGAGAGGGTCTCCAGGAGGTATGAATGACAAAAAAATTTAACTCCTTCACCGTCAGACCGAGAGCATCACCCCCTGAACATGGACTTGCAGAATTCCACAGAAGAGAGGAGACTGGCCTAGACAGACAGCCCCAGGAGCTGAGGGCCCAACAGGCTTTCTACCCTGGATGCTGCTCCCATGCCCTGACATGAGGCCCACTACAATGGTATACTTGTTTGCTCTTTCCTAATTAAGAAACAAACAAACAAAAAATCAGACATACTGTTTGCTCTTGAATGCTTGAAACACAAAACAGGTGACACCACCTTCCTCCTCAAAAGGAACTTTTTAACTGTCAACTTTCTACCTGCACGCTGCCCAGAGACTTATTTTGTCTGGCCCTTGCTGTCTTCAGCAGTAGCAGCTGTTTTTCTTTAGATTTGCTTTTCTGGCCTGGTGCAAGTAACCCCCACCACCTGCCTGGCCCCAGTCGGCATTAAATGGGAGCAGTGAGTGGCCTTCTGGACAAGAACAACTGTTGAATGATGGTCTTTGGGTGCGGCTAGTCCAGCAACCCCTTTTCATCCAGAGGCCCAGTGAGCTGGCTTAGGAGGGGGCTAGGTTGTAGTGTCAATTTAGTGGGATTCCATGCCCTTCTTTCATGGTGGTAGAGGCAAAAGAAAAGAGAAGGAATAGGAAAAGAAAAGAAAAGAAAAGAAAAGAAAAAACACAGAAAGAAAAGCCACTCATTGGCTCTCCTTGTAATTCTTCTAATCATTAATGCCAGAAATCTATGCAGCAGGCGTAGATGATTTTATCTCAGTCCACAATTGTACTTGTGCTGATTGTAGCCTTAAGGCCTTACAGCCCTATCTCATAGGCAGACTACCTCTGGGTTAAACTGCTTTTAATTCTTCTATGTTGGGCTCTTGTTTATAACTTTTTTAAGAGAAAGAATACAGGTTTCTTTAGCAATAAAGAAAAAGAAAACCACTGCTGTATATTTAACACACATCGATTCTAGAGACCTGGAATTGAACAATGAGTTCTGCATATCAACCTGCTCTCCAGGGGTACCAATCCAAGAATGTGATTATTGAAGTGCCAAGTCACATAGGGATAAATCACAATAGTTGGTCAACTGTTGAATCTTGATCCTTCAACTAAACAATATTCATGAACTCTGCAGAAAAACACCAGCATTTTGCTCAACATTCAGGACCCTCTAGAAGTTGCCTCATTCTACTCTCCTTTCTTACCTTTCTTTTACACAGCTCTCCAAAATGTCCACAAAAGTGACTTAAGTCAGGTTCCCCCAAACCAGACACCAAGACAAGAATCCATGTGTGTGTGACTGAAGGAAGTGCTGGGAGAGCCCCAGCTGCAGCCTGGATGTGAACTGCAACTCCAAAGTGTGTCCAGACTCAAGGCAAGGGCACTAGGCTTTCCAGACCTCCTACTAAGTCATTGATCCAGCACTGCCCTGCCAGGACATAAATCCCTGGCACCTCTTGCTCTCTGCAAAGGAGGGCAAAGCAGCTTCAGGAGCCCTTGGGAGTCCTCCAAAGAGAGTCTAGGGTACAGGTCCGAAAGTAGAAGAACACAGAAGGCAGGCCAGGGGCACTGTGAGATGGTAAAAGAGATCTGAAGGGATCCAGGTAAGTTATTGAAAGTATTCTTTCTGTGCTAACCCCAGTCCTCAATCCTTGCCAGCCAGCCCCGTCTTCCCTCTTAGGTACCCTGAGCAGGCTCTATTTTATGCCCTTCCATACCTACGGTGGAAACCAATAGGGTTTTTTTTTTTTTCAGACAGAGTCTCACTCTATTGCTCAGGCTGGAGTGCAGTGGCACGATCTCAGCTCCCTGCAACCTCCACCTCCCGGGTTCAAGTGATTCTCCTGCATTAGCCTCTCAAATAGCTGGGACTATAGGCATGTGCCACCACACCTCGCTTTTTTTTTTTTTTAATTTTTTATTAGAGATGGGGGTTTCACCGTGTTGGCCAGGCTGGTCTCGAACTCCTGACCTCAAGTGATCCACTCGCCTCGGCCTCCCAAAGCGCTGGGATGACAGGCGTGAGCCATTGCACCAAGACCCGATAGGTCTAAGGGGTCTCATTTGAGTCATTGTATATAAATTTTTTTTTCAATGTTTTTTGTCTAAAAAACTTTAGACAGGGAATGCACTCTCCAATTACCTTCAACTGCTACCTCTCCTTATTTTATTATACCTAGATACATCTTGCCTTAACATTTCAATAATTTAACCAGAATATGTTCTGTTAAAAATCTTTTCATTGGCGGGCCATCAGACTGGGTGACTCCTGTGGTTTCATTTTCACTCATTTTACTGTTTACCAGTAAACAGTAGAAAACTAGAGACTTCACCAATCAGAAACTGTCAACTAACCTCTAACTAGGGACTTTTCACTCTAACCAACCAAATAGCTTTTCTTTGTCTCACTCCTGCAAACATTTTATAAAAGTTTCTCTCCTGCCCTCTCCTTTCCTCAGCAGAGCATTGAGCCACCTGTAGTCTGGTGCTGCCTGGCTCATGAATTGCTATCTGTTCTAATAAACTTTAAAAAATGTTATACCTAAAAAATTATCTTTTAACAATTCCAGTGTTGACAGTACTGGATTGGACTCTCCTAGACTCTGGTCTTTCTTGATCTTCAGATCAAATTTTTAACGTCATATTTCTTTTTTTTTTTTTTTGAGATGGAGTCTCACTCTCGCCCAGGCCGGGGTGCGGTGGCACTATCTCGGCTCACTGCAAGCTCCGCTTCCTGGGTTCACGCCATTCTCCTGCCTCAGCCTCCTGAGTAGCTGGGACTACAGGCACCTGCCATTGTGCCTGGCTAACTTTTTGTATTTTTAGTAGAGACAGGGTTTCACCGTGTTAGCCAGGATGGTCTCGATCTCCTGACCTCGTGATCCGCCCGCCTCGGCTTCCCAAAGTGCTGGGATTACAGGCATGAGCAACCGTGCCCGGCCCTAACGTCATATTTCTATCTCCATATAAGCCAAAATGGCTTGTTCAAAAGCCATAACTCTCATAACTTTTCTACTCTTTGTTCTGTATTGGAAGGAGTCAGTGTTCACCAACACTCCTTTAGTGTGACCTCTCTACTTTTTGGTTTTCATATTCATCTACTTGTTCACTGGCCATGAAACCGAAACTATCAGGATAGCTCAGTTATTGCATTTCTCAAGCTCTTTTATGTTTGATATTACCTTTATATTCATGTTGCCTTTATGATCAAGTGAAATACTAGCCAGAATATTTGGAGCAAACTCTTTCCCTTCAATACTTTGAAGATACACTTCTATTACTTCACCAGTGGATATTTTTGTGTAACATTCTCTTGCTGTCCTGATGTTTTCTCTTTCATGAAATATTTTCTTTCTCTGCCAGAGGCTTGAGTAGTTGTCTTTAATTTTGACTTTTAATAATTTAACAAAAATATATTCCAGTGGCAAACATGTTGTATCGAACTTTCCCAGAATTTTCTCTTTTGTTTTTTAGCTTCAATTTCTTCATCATTTCAGGAAAATATTTATCTTTACATACATTTTTCTTAACTTTTAAATCCAGGGGTACATGTACAGGTTCGTTATATAGGTAAACTTGTGTCATGGGGGTTTGTTGTACAGATTTTATCACCCAGGTATTAAGCCTACTACCCGTTAGTAATTTTTCCTGATCCTCTCCCTCCTCCCACCCTCCAACCTGTGAAAGGCCCCAGTGTGTGCTGTTTGCTTCTTTGTATTAATTAATTCTCATGATTTAGCTCCCACTTATAAGTAGGAACATGCATTATTTCATTTCCTGCTCCTATGTTAGTTTGCTAAGGATAATAGCTTCCCGCTCCATCCATGTTTCCATGAAAGACATGATCTTGTTCTTTTTAGTGGCTGCATAGTATTCCATAGTGTATAAGTACCACATTTTCTTTATCCAGTCTGTCACTGATGGGCATTTAGGTTGATTCTGTGTCTTTGCTATTGTGAAGACATGATCTTGTTCTTTTTCGTGGCTGCATAGTATTCCATGGTGTATAAGTGCCACATTTTCTTTATCCAATCTGTCATTGATGGGTATTCAGGTTGATTCTGTCTTTGCTATTGTGAATAGTGCCATACATTTTTCTATTGCACTTTTTGCATTCTCCACTTCGGAAGCACCAATTGTCTTTGCATTGGCTTGTCCTTGACTGCGTTCTATTTTATTCTATCTTAATTGCTTTATCATTTCATTAGCCTTTAGTAGGAATATCAAGCTTTTCTGCCACATAAGCAATGTGATACGATATTGTATCTATATGGTTCCTTTCTGTTCATCATTATGTATTCTGTTGATTAATTAGTTCCATTTCTGTCCTTAATTAGTATTCTAAGGTATGAAATCTTTCTTTTCATAAAACTATTATTTTATCACTTTATTTTTAGCTGTTTTTTATTGAGTTTATTTCACATGGTCCATAGCCCCAGATACCTGTACAATTTTTTTTTTCAGTTTATTTTTCTTCTTGAATTGGTTGTGGTTTTTTTGTATATAACTTTTGCATGTTATGTCTTTTCTTCTAATCCCAATCTCACAGTATTTTGATTTTGTTAGTTCTCATCATTTTCATGTATGTATAGCTCTGTTTCCACCTTTTATTTGCTGCTTGAATCTGGTGTGGCTGGTGAGATGTCCAGCTGGGGTTGGTGTAGACTTGTCAATTGAGGAAAATGACGAGACGAGTCTCAATCATTTTAGGAGATTTATTTGCCAAAGTTAAGGATGTGGGCCTGGGAGACAGGTCTATGCCTTTCTCTGAAGATGATTTTAAGGACTGCAAATTTAAAGGGGAAAGGATGGGATATCGAGAAGCACCGTTTTCATGTAAGAGCTGGGTAGGGAAAATAGTGATTCATGGCCTTTGGCTCAGTGAATGTGCTTTTTTTTGCATAAGATGACATAAACAAAAGGGGCAGAGGAAAAATGCAAGGACTCTGCATTTTACATAACATACCTGGTGGCTCAGATGCTACTCTTTTAGCTGTGGTTTCAGCCAGTTGGTTACCCTGACTTTCTGTGGTGTCTAATTTTGAGTGACCTGGGATTTTTATAATTGCCAAACGTTTTGGTTTTAGAGTAGCTTCTAACAGCGCTGATACTTGCTGCCCATTTTCTATGGGTTGCCCTGAGTAGGTTAAATATCCTCTCTCTTTCCATAGCATCCCAAAGTTATGAGCAACCCCAAAAGCTTAGCGGCTGTCAGTGTAAATGTTTGCAGCCTTGTCTTTTGCCACTTGACAAGCTCGAGTCAGGGCAATCAATTTGGCTGCTTGAACCAATCTGGCATGGGGAAGAGGACTGGCTTCAGTTACCTCTAGTAAGGAAACCACAGCATATCCTGCTCTAAAATGTCCATTTTCTCATCTTCAATAAGACCCATCTGTATACCATTCTATCTCAGCATTATCCAGTGGCATCGCTTATAGGTCTGTCCTGGGGGTGAGAAGTTGGTCAGTCATCAGAACACAGTCATGAGGGGTCTTGTTGGAAGGGCCTGGCAAGAGAGTGGCTGGATTAAGATGATAGAGCAGGAAATAGTAATATTGGGAGAAGATAAAAGCAAAATTTCGTAAGAGGCTAAGCAGTTGACAGACAGATACTGGGTATGATGAGAATTTAGAAGGGTCTCAATAGGATGTGGCACAAAAATGGTAAGGGGGAACTCATAAGAACTCATAATTATTTCTTCAACAGACGTGTACAGAAGGGCCATGCTGTTATTACTCTTACACAAGGAGGCAGCCCTCGAGCCACAGGGTCCAGCTGTTGGCTATAATAGCCTACCGGTCTCTGATGATCACCATGTTTCTGGGTCAGTACCCTGGATGCAGTACCTCCAGTTTCGCATACAAAAAGGGAGAAAGGCAACTTGTAGATTGGGTGCTGTGAGTCTGGGGAATTAGTGAGAATTTCCTTTATTTGTTATATAACTGGTTTTCCCTCTGGAGTCCCCATGATGAGATCAGGTTGTTCATTTTTTAGGTATGCATATGGAGGGTGAGCCACAAAGGAGAAATTTGGTATCCAGTTTCTACAACAGCCTGCCAGTCCCCGAAATCCTCTAAGTTGTTTCTTAGTGATGGGCATTGGGAAAGCTAAAATTTCTCTCACATTATCAGGGTTAATACTCAGTCCTTTGACCAAGATAATATGCCCCAAATACTTAACTTCCGGTAAGCACAGCTGAAGTTTGTCTTCAGACGCTTTGCGTCCCTTGCTGGCTGAGTAAATGTAGACTATCTTCCTGGGAGGAAGATGCTGTGCCTGGACAAAGGAGAAGGTCATCCACATACTGAACGAGTGTTGAGCCCTGGGGAAAAATTAAATCCACTAAATCAGCTTTTAGTATTTGGGAAAAGTAAGTGGGACTTTCTGTATACCCTTGGGGCATGACAGCCCACATATATTGCCATTCTTTCCAAGTAAAAGCAAACAAATATGGCTGTCTGGATCTACAGGAATACTGAAAAAGGCACCGCAGAGATTCACAACTGAGAAATACTGGCTGGTAGTGAGTATAGCTGATAAAACGGCATGTGGGTTGGGGACTACTGGGTGCCTGGGTATTACAATATTGTTTATTGCCCTCAAGTCCTGCACAAATCTCCATTTTCTCCTGCTTTGTTTCTTTACAGGGAACATAGGGCTGTTGCAGGGGCTGGTGCAGGGAATAATGAGCCCCTTTTTAGATAGTCTTGTATAATAGGGGCAATTCCATTTGCGGCTTCCTGCTATAGAGTGTATTGTTTAAGGCTAGGCAGGGGTTTCTTTGGATTTATCTCTACCTTTATTGGAGTGGCTGAGAATATTTTCCCTATATCTGTATTGACTGAGACCGTAAGTGGGAGGAGACATCCTTGAGCAAGCGTTCCTCTTCTGGTGTTAACAGGAAGACTGGGGAAGCTAAAAGGAGTTTTACCGTTTCCTGCTCTTTATTCCAGTGTTTTCTCTTCTCCTCTATTATTTCCTTCTGTGTCTCTATTTCATATTCCCGGCCACAAGACGATGTTTCAACACTACTAGTACTAAATTGTGGTACGTTGTCAGGACATTTTGTAATTCGGTATTCTTGGTCTCCTGGCCCCAATTCTAAAAAAAGTTCACGTTTTGATGAAAAAAAGATATGGGCATTATGGATGTTGAGGAGATCACAGCTCAAAAGATTGACAGGGGCCCCAGGGCATATAAGAAACATATGGTACCTACGGAGCATGTCACACACAATTAGAGCTTGCGGCGGGGGAGCTGAACCCGATGGAATTGTAAGGTATAGGTTTGGACTTAAAACGTGAGATCATTTTATTAGACGCAGCCACCATGTTAATTCTTTCATTACTCTGAGGAATGGGCTTTCTAAATCAGGTGGGATTTATCAGAGATATAGTTGTGTCTGTGACAATTAAGGCAGTTGTAAGCTCATGATTTATTATTATATTAATGTCTCCCAATTTGTTTGTCATGGTGAAGTTTTAACAGCTCACTAGGAGTTAACTTGTGGGCAAAATATGGGGGAGGCATGTGGCTTTTCATCTTGTAGCCATCTTATTCAGGAACCAAAAAGGGGGAGGCAGGTTTGCATGACCCACTTACTAGCTTGACTTTTCCCTTTGGCTAAATGAGTTTCGGGGGTCCCACAATTTAATTTCCTTTCACAGACTCCTCAGTTTTCTTTAGTGGAGGTGAGGGGAGGTGGCTATGACAAGAGATGCTCTGATAGCGGATCTTCTGTATATAGATGGTCCTTGTTTCTTTTGAGTAGCATCATACATTAAGGGCCTTACCTTGTTTATCTGCCTCAACATGCCGAATTATAGCTGTACCTAGAGGAAGACCAGGTGCTAGCACTACATCCTGGTCTTTGATGTGTTTGGTATATGTCATGGTAGTGACTGGGGGCATGGAACTTGGTTCACCCTTCCTTGCTGATCTCATGACAGTTCATCAGCTGGTGGGTTGCCTCGGGAGGCTGTGGAAGCCCCGCTGCTGGTGGCTTCCACAGCTTCCAGGTTTTTAAGCCAGAAGGCTGTACCCCATCAGCGTTGCACCCATCTCCATAGTTGTAGTTTCCACACACTTATACAACTCAAATGTTCACTTTACTGTGCAGTCCATTCCCTCTGTTTTGTGATTTTTAGGAAATCTTCATAATTTACGGTCTACAAAACTATTATTTTGTTTTCAAGGAAGTCATGTTATATATTTCTGACTGTCTTTTCTCTTATTTCTAGAATTCAAGCCAGGAAGAAGCAGCAATCTGTCTTCTGGATTAAAACTGAAGATCAACCTACTTTCAACTTACTAAGAAAGGTATTAAGCGCCTTTCTGAGAGCTCTCAGTGGGCTTCCTAAGCACGTTCACTCTGCCTCCTTTAAGTCTTATATTTATGATCAAGATGAAAGGGAGGGATGTATCACTGCACAGAGATTCTACAAGTGGATATATAAAGCTAATAATGTTTTCAGTGAGCTCTTCTCTGGCAACTACTTTCCAAGTGCTTTCAGCATTCCACCTTGAAGCACAACGTTAATAATGCACAATTTCTTATGTTCAGCCACAGAATGTTCACGTGTGATTTGGTTACAACATATTGCTCTATCCAGGCCTCTAACAAAACTGACTTCTTTCAAATGGACTTGCAGTTGCTGAATTCCAAATCAACACTTTATCTTAAAAACAGAAAAGGAGGGGAAGGGTGGAGGGAGGGGAACAGAGAGGGTACAAGAGGCAAAAAAAGAAAAAGAGGAAAACAAATGCTTGTAAACAAGTTAAACCAAATAAAAGAGATATAAAGTAATTTCTTAAAAGAAGGAATGATATTCTAAGCAAGAATCAAATATCCAGGTATGTATAAACCGCCTTCGTCCTTTTAGATCGGCTTCTCTCTCTTCTTTACATACTCAGTACAAATTCTAGGTGAGGGGGCAGAGAGGGGTTGGCATTGTCTGACTAAATACATCTTGTTCTCTCTCTGAGTGGTAGAACTTTAGAGCTTGACCAAATGTTACGAAAGGGTGCTGGTGGAAGTTAGGATGAGAAGAAATGCAATCTAATAGATTTGGAGAAATGATGTTGTAGACACCAAGAACAGAGAAAGTTGGAAACTGGCAATATGGGGAGGATAGCTGGGTCAGAAAGGAAAAATAGGAGAATATAGAAGAAATGTTATGAGAAGGGAAAATAAGAGATGCTCCACTTATCACCATTCATCTCGGGGCAGGTCCCTTTGTACAAGGTCATCCTCAGGCCATACCACATACAAAAGAGTTATACCTGAGGTCTGTACAGCACTGTTACAATCATAGTCTCAAAAGGTTAAGGCTCTATGATGGCAGGTTTAAAAAACCTTTTCTAAAATATTTAACAAAATAAGGGGCATTTATTTTTTTTTGGTTCACATTACCTGAAAGTTAAAAGATAGCTTTCGGCTTCATTCAGGTCTTTCCTCATTCTACCTTCTGTTGTTTTTCATCTCTTGGTAAACTTGGTGAACTCTTTGTTAGTGTTGTTCTTCAGTAGGTTCTCACCAATAGCTTTGAATGAATACCCCACCAGCTTCTACTCACCAATAGCTTTGAATGAATACCCCACCAGCTTCTACCTTGTAGCAGAATGTACACGCTTAGGTTTCAGCAAAAGTTCCTCAGTAAAGTCTCAGATCTACTTAGATCATATGTTATCCATGAGCCAAGCACTGGTCCTAGAGCATATGTGTTCAAATTGGTCCCACCTAGTCCATGTGACTATCCATAAGGCGCAATATGGGCAGCCTGTTCTCTACACAGTATCCAGAAACATCACTTTGATTGTGGCAAACATTGCTCAATTACAACCCTTCTCTCAGGCCTCTCTCATTTACATTTCTCATTTCACTTACAGTAAAAACCAAAATGCCAGTCTTAGCTCCAAGGCTGCAGTTGCCTGTCAGATCTCATCTCAGTCCACTCTCCTTCTTACTCATGTGCTCCAATTACCCTTGCTTCCTGAATGTTTTTTGAACGCTCAAGGCAGTTTCCAGCTTAAGGCCTTGTTATTTTCTGTTTTCCTACTTGGAACAATCCTCCTCACGCATATCCTTAGGCCTTATTCTCTGGCATCCTTCAAATCTTAGCGAGTGTTTTTTTTTTGGTGTGTTTTTTTTTTTTTTTAAACCAACTAATTTAAAATTGGAGCTCTCCCTCTGTACTTACTGGGTCCTTTCTTTACTTTAGTTTTCCCAGGGCACTTACTACAATCTAACAGATTGCATGTTTTATCCATGTATTCAATTTCCTATATATGTCACTCCAACTCCCACTAAAATATAAGATTTTTGAGAGTAAGCAAGCACTAGAACAGTAGGAAACACATTATAGCTATTCAGTGAACTATTTCTTGAGTTAATCAATCAATGGATGAGTGAATCAATACAGTTCTTTGAGCGGGAAACTTTGTATAAGGCTCAGCTAAAAGGGAAATTGAGTGGGTCAGGTACCACGGATACTATACACTCTATTGCATGATTCTCCTGCCTACATCAGAAGACGTTTATAAGCCTATTTTAAAGGATACCAGTTGGAATCTCTCTTTTATTAATCACCAAGAGAACCATGAACAAGCTGTTTATCATTTGACTCATCATTTAATCTTGATTTCCAGCTTCTCACACTTGAAAGAAGACATAATACATTTCTCACAGGATTCTGGGACTATTAACTGAACTTATGTGTGTAAAAGGAATTCATACAATGAAAGCACTAGAAATAATTATTATACTTATAACCATTGTATTTTTACATGTTTAAAATATAGCCATAATTAGCCTACTCAAATCCAAGTGTAAAAGTAAAATGATTTGCTTTCGTTTTGTTTTCCTTGCTTAGGGGATCATGGACATTGAAGCATATCTTGAAAGAATTGGCTATAAGAAGTCTAGGAACAAATTGGACTTGGAAACATTAACTGACATTCTTCAACACCAGATCCGAGCTGTTCCCTTTGAGAACCTTAACATCCATTGTGGGGATGCCATGGACTTAGGCTTAGAGGCCATTTTTGATCAAGTTGTGAGAAGAAATCGGGGTGGATGGTGTCTCCAGGTCAATCATCTTCTGTACTGGGCTCTGACCACTATTGGTTTTGAGACCACGATGTTGGGAGGGTATGTTTACAGCACTCCAGCCAAAAAATACAGCACTGGCATGATTCACCTTCTCCTGCAGGTGACCATTGATGGCAGGAACTACATTGTCGATGCTGGGTTTGGACGCTCATACCAGATGTGGCAGCCTCTGGAGTTAATTTCTGGGAAGGATCAGCCTCAGGTGCCTTGTGTCTTCCGTTTGACGGAAGAGAATGGATTCTGGTATCTAGACCAAATCAGAAGGGAACAGTACATTCCAAATGAAGAATTTCTTCATTCTGATCTCCTAGAAGACAGCAAATACCGAAAAATCTACTCCTTTACTCTTAAGCCTCGAACAATTGAAGATTTTGAGTCTATGAATACATACCTGCAGACATCTCCATCATCTGTGTTTACTAGTAAATCATTTTGTTCCTTGCAGACCCCAGATGGGGTTCACTGTTTGGTGGGCTTCACCCTCACCCATAGGAGATTCAATTATAAGGACAATACAGATCTAATAGAGTTCAAGACTCTGAGTGAGGAAGAAATAGAAAAAGTGCTGAAAAATATATTTAATATTTCCTTGCAGAGAAAGCTTGTGCCCAAACATGGTGATAGATTTTTTACTATTTAGAATAAGGAGTAAAACAATCTTGTCTATTTGTCATCCAGCTCACCAGTTATCAACTGACGACCTATCATGTATCTTCTGTACCCTTACCTTATTTTGAAGAAAATCCTAGACATCAAATCATTTCACCTATAAAAATGTCATCATATATAATTAAACAGCTTTTTAAAGAAACATAACCACAAACCTTTTCAAATAATAATAATAATAATAATAAAAAATGTATTTTAAAGATGGCCTGTGGTTATCTTGGAAATTGGTGATTTATGCTAGAAAGCTTTTAATGTTGGTTTATTGTTGAATTCCTAGAAAAGTTTTATTGGTAGATGAGTAAATAAAATATTGTAAAAAAACTTATTGTCTATAAAGTATATTAAAACATTGTTGGCTAATATAATTTGAAAAAAAGTGGTTTTTTGGAAGACTTAGGATATTATGGTGCTACATAATTTTTCCTCGATGCTCTCTTCCTCTCATCTTTCTTGTCTCTTAAATTACTTTACTTCCTTGCACACTTTGCCATACAAGAATGAACATGAGCTTTTCTTGTGTAGATCTGAGTTGAAATCCTGTGGACACTGGGCGAATTACTTTTTAGATCTGTAGCTCTGACTCCTCAGGCATAAAATGGGAATAATGCTTTTACAGTTTAGTGGCGGAACTAAACTCCCAAAATTATTTGTTATATGGATCAAGTAATAACGTCAGTAATGTTTTTGGTACAAAGTCATTATTTAATAAAAGTTATTGTTCCATCTTGCTTGCCCCCCCACCCCTGTCATCTGCCTGCTTCTTTCTTGATTAAATATTGATAGGATATTAGATGCCCAAGATCTAAGAGTGTGCTCTGTGCTTCAGAATCTGAATCTTTGCTTATCTATAATTCAGATTTTCTGTTTGTGGATTCCAGTATCAGGACTATAGTTTAACTTGCAGACTTGATCTTACACTATTCTCCCTCTTCGACGTGTGATCATTGTAATAAGGTTAAGAGAAAGGCAGGGACTAGAATGAAGAAATTTTAGTTAAGAGAACAAGATACATTGTAACATCGGTATTTTATGCAGCAATTTAACAGTTGGGAGATGCTGGTGTGGGGGGATATCTTAGGAAGAGGTAGAAATGAGACATGGCCTCAGTGGGAAGGAAGGATGAAAGATATATTTCAGTATTTGATGGCTTGCTGTCTTCCTTACTGTACTGGCCTTTTCCAGCTCTGCTGCTATCTGGCAGCAATGCCAGGTCATTTCTTGTACTCTTGGGAAGAAATACGTTTTTCACTTTCTGACCAGGACCATGCCTGTGGAGTAGATGTTGACAAGAAACACTGACCAGATCAAAATGTGTCTCAAGGAGAATGGCACAATTTTGTGCAAATGAATCAAGGAAGTCTTATTGCACAGGAGTATCCTGGAACCCAGTGCAATTGATTTTTTAGAAAAATATATCACATAGGGGAAAAAAACTGGAATATGTTGAAGGAGACGTATATAATATTTAGCATCCAGATTGATGACTTCTGCCCTAACTATGCAATGTTAACTTTTCTCAGATGAAATCTAAATGAGTGAAGGAGAATAATCTCGCCAATTCATTTGGTCAGAGATCTTAAGAAGCCCCCTACTTACTTGTGTTTGTCCAAACTGTTGTCTCTGTTTTTGGTGGCCCCTTGGAGATCAGAATGTGCCATGTCCTGTCAAGACCCCAAGACAAGTAAGGTAGAATCCAAACATTTTATATGTAGCTGGAAAAGTGGGGGTGTTGGATGTGTATTTCAGTTTCTTCAATCATTACGGTGAAGCTGAGCGTGAACCTTTATCTCCCATTCTCTCTGCACTAAGCCAAGGAGAGAATCTGTGACAAATGCCTGTACTGGTGTTTAGGTTGTACTCTGGGGGAGATAGCTGCTAGAAGTTGGCCCAATTGTGTATTTGCCTGTTTGTTTCCAGTGTCTAAGGCCACTCAGAAATGCATAGCCCCATTGACTCCCAGAACTAAAGAGACAGTCCCTTTTATGAGAGGTCATTAAAGAGACAGTCCTTTCTATGAGAACTATACAAGTTGTGGCTGTTGGTGTGTGGACCAACTACCTCCAAAAAATATGGGTAGACTTGGAATAATCACTGGAGTGAGCTAGAGGAAAGGCTCAGGAGGTGACATCCTTCAGCTCAGGCTTTTGGAGGGTTACTGTTTGTCTACCCCATTACCTCACCAATGCAAGTTCAACGGAAGCTGCCAAGTAGCCACTTAAAAAAATGTGCAATAGGCTGGGTATGGTGACTCACGCCTGTAATCCCAGCACTTTCGGAGGCCAAGGCGGGTGGATCACCTGAGGTCAGAAGTTCGGGACCAGCCTGGTCAACATGGTGAAACCCCGTCTCTACTAAAAATACAAAAAGTAGCCAGGTGTGGTGGTGGGTGCCTGTAATCCCAGCTACTTAGGAGGCTAAGGCAAGAAAATTGCTTGAACCCAGGATGGGGAGGTTGCTATGAGCCAAGATCGCACCATTGCACTCCAGCCTAAGCAGCAAGAGTAAGACTCTGTCAAAAAAAAAAAAAAAAAAAAAAGTGCAATAAACCGCTTCTGGAGAAAAAAATGGGGGTTGTGCATTCCAGCCTTTTTTTCTGCACTACACCCAGAGAGTGTACTCTTTGGAAACGCACATCTTTGTTCTGTGACCGAGAGAAACACGTATGCCTAGTCTCCTCTACTGTTAGAGCCCGGAGGCTTACGATGCTGTCCTTCATGGGGAAGCTGTAAAAGTTGGGGCATAAGGAAAATAACTGCCAATTGAAAATACTATACTTAGCAAATCTATTCTTCAAACATGAAGAGGAGATAAAACCCCAAGACAAACAAAAGCTAAAGCCATCACCACCAGACTTGTCTTACAAGAAACGCTAAAGGGATTTCCTCATCTGAAAGGAAAGGACGCTAACATGCAACAAGAAAATATGTGAACGTATAAAACTCACTGGTAAGAGTAAGTACACAGACAAATTTATAATACTCTAAGACTGTAATTGTGGTGTGTAAACCACAATATCTTTAGTATGAAGACTAAAAGATAAAGCTACCAAAAATGACAACAATTTGTCAGGAGATGGGCAATATAAAATGATGTAAATTGTGGCAACAAAAAGTCAAAATATGGGAGGCATGGAGTAAAAGTGCAGAGTTTTAAACTTTTTTTTATTGGCTTCCTTTCTTTGTGCTGAATGTTAAGTTTCCATCAGTTTAAAGTAACTTGTTATAGCTCTAAGATTTTTTTGTAAGCCTCATAGTAACCACAAAATGAAAGTTTGTCATAGATATACTAAAAATAAAAAAAGAGTAATTAAAACATACTCCCAGAGAAAATCAGTTAACCACAAAGGAAGATGGGAAGGAAGAAGAACAGAATTAAAAACAACCAAACCTGGGCATGATGGCATGTACCGACAGTCCCAGATACTCAGGAGGCTGAGGCAGGAGGATCACTTGAGCCCAGGAGTTAAAGGATTCAGTTAGCTATGATCACACCAATGCATTCCAAACTTGTTGACAGACAGAGACCTTGTCCAAAAAAAAAAATAAAAAATAAAAACAAACAAAAATCTAGGCGTGGTGGCTCATGCTTGCAATCACGGCACTTTGGGAGGCCAAGGTGGGCAGATCACTTGAGCCCAGGAGTTCAAGACCAGTCTGGGCACCATGGCGAAACCCTATCTCTACTAAAATACAAAAATTAGCCAGGCATGGTGGAGCATTCCTGTAATCCCAGCTACTTGGGAGGCTTAGGCACGAGAATCACCTGGGAGGCAGAGGTTGCAGTGAGCTGAGATTGTGCCACTGCACTCTAGCCTGGGCAACAGAGTGAGACTCTGTTTCAAAAAATAAGTAAGCAAATAATTAAAACAGCCAAAAAACAAGTAACAAAATGGCACTAGTGTGTCTTTATCTAGCAATAATAACATTGCATGTAAATGGAAAAAGTTAAAAGATGTAGAATAGTTGAATAGATTTTTTAAAAATACTCAATTATATGCTGTCTACAAGAAACTCATGTAACCTATAAAGGCACATGTAAAGTGAAAGTAAAGAGATGGAAAAAGACATGCCATGGAAACCAAAAATGAGCAGGAATAGCTATATTTATATCAGATAAAAGAGACTTCTAGTCAAAATTGTGCAATGAGGCAAAAAAGGTTATTACATAATGATAAAGGGATCAATTCAGCAAGATGGCAAGATGATATAACAATAATATATATGCACCCAACACTGGAGTACCCAAGTATATAAACATAAATAAATCTAAAGGGAGAAGTATACAGCAATAAACAATATTAGGGAACTTTAACAACCCACTTTCTACAATGGACAAGTCATCCAGACAGAAAATCAACAAAGAAACAATGGAGTTAAACTGCATTCTAGACCAAAAGGACATAACTGACATTTCTAAAACACTTTATCCAATTGCTACAAAATACACAATCTTCTCATTAGTACATGGAACACTGTCCAGGATATACTGTATGTTAGGCCACACAATGATGTCAACAAATTTTTGAAGTCAAATTCATATCAAGTATCTTTTCTAACCACCATGAAATAAAACTGGGAATCAATAACAAGAGGGATTTCGGAAAGCGTACGAATACATAAAAATTAAACAGCATGCTCCTAAACATCCAATAGGTCAATGAATAAATTAAGAATGAAAATTAAACATTTTGTGAATCAAATGAAAATGGAAGCACATCATATCAAAACTTGTGGGATACAGCAAAAGCAGTAGTAAGACAAAGTTTATAGTAATACATGCCTATCAAAAAGGTAGAAAGGTTTTCTATAAACAGCCTAATAATGTACTTTAAGAAACTAGGAAAGCAAGAATAAACTAAACCCAAAATAGTAGAAGGAAAGGAATAATAAATACCAGAGTAGAAAAATTAAATAGAGACTAAAAAAACAGTACAAAGGTCAACTAAATGAAAAGTTGGATTTTTGAAAAGATAAAATCAACAAACCTTCATATGGATTAAAAAAATTACAATTGATGCGACAGAAATACAATGCATTATTGTAAAGTATTATGAACAAGTATATGCCAACAAATTTCAAAACCTGGAAGAGATGGATACATTTCTGGACACTTACAACCTATCAAATTGAACCATGAAGCAATAGAAGACCTCAACAGATTAATAATGAGTTATGAGATCAAGCGTAATAAAAAAATTCCACATCAAAGAAAAGCCCAGGACTTAATGGCTTCACGCTAAATCTACCAAACATTTAAAGAAGAACTAATACCAGTTTTACTCTAACTCTTCAGAAAAAAATGAAGAGAAGGAAATCTAAATTAATTCTATGAGGCCAGTATTACCCTGAAACCAAAATCAGAAAAGGACACAGAGAAAAAAGAAAACTACAGGCCAATATTCCTGATGAACACAGACGAAAAAGATTTTCTACAAGATACTAGCAAACTGAATTCAACAACACATGTAAAACATCATCACCATAATCAAGTGGGATTCCTCCTAGAGATGCAAAGATGGGTTAATATATGCAAATCAATAAATGTGATACATCACATTAACAGAATCAAGAGAAATCATATGATTATTTCAATAGATGCTGGGAAAGCATTGCATAAAATTCAACATCCCTTAGTGATAAAAACTCTCAGCAAATTGGTTATGGAAGGAACAAAGCTTAAAACAATAGAAAATATATATATGACAAATACACAGCTAACATCATACTGAACAGGGAAAAATTGAAAGCTTTTCCTCCACAATTAGAAAAGACAAGAATGCCCATTTTCAGCACTTTTATTCAATGTAATACTGGAAGTTTCAGTCAGAGCAATTAGACAAGAGAAAGAAATAAAGAGCATCCAAACTGGAAAGAATTCAAATTATTCTTCTTTGCAAATGACGTGATCTTATATTTAGAAAAAGCCAAACACTCTACGAAAAAATGGTTTGAACTGATAAATGAATTCACTAAAGTTGCAGGATACAAAATAAACATACAAAAATTATTAGCATTTCTAGATGCAAATAGCGAACAACCTGAAAAAGAAATCAAGGAAGCTATTCCATTTATAATAATTACACAAAAACAAAAACCTAGCCACAAATTTAACTTAAAATGAAACATCTCTCATTGAAAACTATAAAATATTGATGAAATACATTGAAGAGGACACAGGAAATAAAAAGATATTCCATGCTCATTGATTAGAAAAATTAATGTTGTTAAAATGTATGTATTATCCAAAGTGAGCTGCAGGTTAGATGCAATCCCTATCAAAATTCTAATGACATTCTTCACAGAAATAGAAATAGATTCTAAAATTTGTAGAGACCTATTAAAGACCCTGAACAGCCAAAGCAATTTTGAGCAAAAAGAACAAAGCTAGAGGCATCACACTATCTCACTTCAAAATGTATTATAAAGCTTTAATAACCATAATAGCATGGTACTGGCATTAAAACAGACACATAGACCAATGGAATAGAATACAGAATCCAGAAATAACCCTAGGCATTTACAGCCAATTTATTTTTGACAAAGGTATTAAGAACATACATTGGGGAAAGAACAGTCTCTTCAATAAATGGTGCTGGGAAAATCTCTACATTTTTATGCTGAGAAAAGAACCCAGAGTAATTTAATTTTTTGATTTAATTTTAATTACAAAATTAAATCAAAATGGATTAAAGACTTAAGTGTAAGAACTGACACTATGAAGCTACTAGAAGAAACTATAGGAGAAATGCTTTAGTACACTGGTCTGTACAAAGATTTTTTTGGGTAAATTCAAAAATACAGGCAACCAAAGCAAAAATAACAAATGGGATTATATCACACTAAATGGCTTCTGCAAATCAAGGAAACAATCAGCAAACTGAAGAGACAACCCACAGGATAGGGGAAAATATTTGCAAACTATACATTTGACAAGAGATTAATAGCCAAAATATATAACGAGCTCAAACAACTCAATAGCAAAAAACCTACAAATGATCTTATTTTAAAAATGAGCAAATGATCTGAACAGACATTTCTCGAAAGAAGACATATGAATGGCCTACAGGTATGTAAAAAAAATGCTTGACCAAACATGGTGGCTCACTCCTGCAATCCCAGTGCTTTTGAAGGCCAAGGTGAGAGGATCACTTGAGGCCAGGAGTTCAAGACTGGCCTGGGCAAACTAGCAAGATCTGCATCTCTACTAAAAAAAAAAAAAAAAAAAAAATTAAAGAATTAGCTAGGCATCTTGGCACATGCCTGTAGTCCCAACTACTCAGGATGCTGAGGAGCCTAGGAGTTTGAGGTTGCAATGAGCTATGATCATGTCACTGCACTCCAGCCTGGGTAACAGAGTGAAACTCTACTAAAAAGAAAAAAGAAAAAGGAAAAGAAAAAAAAACAAAAACAGAAAGGAACAAAAGAAGAATGCTGAACATTGCTAATCATCAAGGAAATGCAAATCAAAACCACAATGAGTTATCTCACACCAGTTAAAATGACTATTATGAAAAATAAAAAAACAAAAAATAACAAATGCTGTTAAGGATGTGGAGAAAGGGAAATGCTAATACACTGTGGTGGGAATGTAGATTAGTAGATCCACTATGGAAAATAGTATGGAGGTTCCTTCAAAAACCAAGAATAGGACTACCACATGCTCCAGTAATCCTACTTCTGGGTATATATCTAGAAGAAACGAAATTAGTTACTGAAGCGGTATGTGTACTCTCATGTTTACTGCAGCACTGTTCACAATAGCCAAGATATTGCTTCAACATAAGTGTCCATCCACGGATGAATGGATAAATAAAAGGTGGTATATATGCACAATGGAGTATTACACAACCATGAGAAAAAAACGAAATCCTCTTGTTTGGAGCAGCATGGATAGAACAGGAGGACATCATGTTGAGTAAAATAAGCCAGGCGCAGAAAGACAAATATTACATGTTCTCAAATGTGGTTACAAAAAAGGGGACTTCATGGAGGTAGAGAGTGGAATGGTGGTTTACCAGGGCTGGGAAGGGCATGGAGGAGGTGGGGATGTAGAGAAGGTGGCTAATGGGTACAAAAATACAGTTAGACAGATGAAATAATTTTTAGTGTTCTATAGCACAGTAGCGTGACTATAGTAAACAATAATTTATTGTGTATTTCAAAATAGCTAGACGAGATGTAGAATGTTCTCAATACAAAGAAGTGCTAAATGTTTGAGGGGATGGATGTGCAGATTATACTGACTTGATTAATACACATTCTATGCATGTAACAAAATGTCACATGTACCCTATACATATGTACAGTTGTTACATATCAACAGAAAAGAATAAAATAATAAAGAAATTTAACTAAAAAAAGAAATATACACTGAAAAGTATAAAACATTGATATATGAAATTACAGAAGACACAAATAAATGGAAATAGGTCCCATGTTTGTGGAGAGGAATTAATATTTTTTAAATAGGCATACTATGGCAAAGCATATATTAATTCAATCCTTATCAAAATTCTAATTCTATTCTTCACATAAATTTTTAAAAATTCAAAAATTCACTTGAAACCACAAAATGCCCCAAATAGCCAAAGTAATCTTGAGAAAGTAGAACAAAGTTGTAGGCATCACACTTCCAGATTTCAAATTATATTACAAAATTATACTAATCAAAACTGTATGGTATTGGAATAAAAACAGACTCATACAGTAACGGAACAGAATAGAGAGCTCAGAAATAAACCCAAACATATATGGTCAGCTAATTTTTGACTTGCATCTAAGAAGATACAATGAGGAAAGCATAGCTACTTAAACAAATATTGTTAGATAAATTGGATATCCACAGGCAAAATAATGAAAGTGAATGCTTATCTCACATAGATACACCAAAGTCAGCTCTCAGTGGATAAAAGATCATGCATAAAACCAGAAATTGTAAAACTTCTAGAAGAAAACATAAGAGAAAACCTCCTTGATGTTGGCCTAGTAATGATTTTTTGGATATCACTCCAAAAACTCAGGAAACAAAAGTGAGAATAAATAAATGGAATTACATCAAACTAAAAAGCACCTGCACAGCAAAGAAAACAATCAACAAAATGGAAAGGCAATGTGTAGACTGGAAGAGAATATTTGCAAACCATTCATTTGATAAGGGGTTAATATCCAAAGTAAAAGAGCAATTCATACAATTCAATAGCAAAAAAAAAAAAAAAAGATTATAAAATGACCTGAATGGACATTTTCCCAAAGAACACACACAAATGCCTAATAACCTTATGAACAAATGCTCCACATCATTAGTCATCAGGGAAATATAAATTAAAACCACAGTGAGCTAACCACTCACACCTGTTAGAATGACTATTTTCAAAAAGGCAAGAGAGAACAAGTGTTCTTCATGATGTAGAGAAAAGGGAACGTTTATACAATGTTGGCAGGAATGTAAATTACTTCAGCCATTATAGGAAACAGTATGGAGGTTTGTCAAAGAAATAGAAATAGAACTATCATATGATTCAACAATCTGTCTGTTGGTTATATACCCACAGGAAATGAATTTAGCCCCTTGTACTAATATCTGTGCTCTTGTGTTTATTGTAGCATTATTCACAATAGCCCTATCAAATGACAGATTAATGGACAAAGGAATTGTGGTGTATATATATATATATATATATATATACACATATATACATATATGTATATATATGTGTATATATGTGTATATATATGTATATATATGTGTATATATACATATATATACACATACAATGGAATATTAGTCAGCCTTAAAAAAGAAGCAGATACTGCCATTTGCAACCACATAGATGAAACTTGAGGTCATTATGCTAAATTTAAATAAGCTAGACACAGAAAAATACCACATGATTTCATAAGCACAATCTAAAAAATATTCAAATACACAGGAACAGGTAAAATTTCGTTTAACAAGGGAAGGGAGGGGAGAAAAATAGCAACATGTAGGTCAAAGGGTACAATCCTACAGTTATTATTGGATGAGATCTAATGTATAGTATGATAATTACAGCCAGGTACGGTGGCTCACACATGTAATCCCAGCCCTTTGGGAGGCTGAGGCAAGAGAATCACTTGAGGTCAGGAGTTCAAGACCAGCCTGGACAACAGAGTAAGACTCCATCTCTAAAATAAAAACTTTAAAAAAATTAGTTGGGTGTAGTGGTGTTCACCTGTGGTCCTAGCTGCTCAAAAGGCTGAGCCCATGAATTTGAGGCTGCAGTGAGCTGTGATGGTGTCACTGCACTCCTGCCTGGGTGACAGAGTGAGACCTTGTCTCGAAAAAATAAACAAAAATTTAAAACCAATAATTATAGTTAATGTTGTATTGTACACTGAAAATTTCCTAAGAGAGGTTTAAAGAACTAGTAATCATAAACATAGGAATCATTTCACTATGTTTATGTTTATCAAAACATGTTGTATACCTTAAGTATTTTCAATAAATTTAAAAGTAAAATTTAAATAAAAGAATTAGTGGGAAAGGGGAGCCATGCAACCTTCATACACTGCTGGTGAAAACTGTATAATCACTTTGGAAAACATCTTGGTAGGATCTACTAAGCTGAATATCTGTCTCCCACTCTATGCCACAGCATTTCTACTCTTGGATACATGGCATGTGTCAACCAATAGACACATACAAGAATATTCGGCCTGACGCGGTGGCTCGCACCTGTAATCCAAGCACTTTGGGAGGCTGTGGCGGGTGGATCACCTGAGGTCGGGAGTTCGAGACCAACCTGACCAACATGGAGAAACCCTGTTTCTACTAAAAATACAAAATTATTGGGGCGTGGTGGTGCATGCCTGTAATCCCAGCCACTTGGGAGGCTGAGGCAGGAGAATTGCTTGAACTCGGGAGGTGGAGGTTGTGGTAAGTCGAGATAGTGCCATTGCACTCTAGCCAGGGCAGCAAGAGCGAAACTCCATCTCAGAAAAAACCCCAAAAGAATATTCATAGCAGCACTGTTTATAATTGATCCAAACTGGAAACAATCCACATGCACATTAACAGCAAGGGGATAATTAAAATGTGGCATATTTGTTCAACAGAATATTATATAGCAAAGAGAATGAACAAATTACAATTGTGCACAACACAAAGTTGTGAAAAAGAAGCTAGACACCAAACTGTACGTATCACTCAATTCCATTTACAGATAGGTGAAAACCATACAAATCATGATTATACTGAGGATGGTGGCTACTGACTGGAAAGAGGCACAGAAAAAGTTTCTGGGGTGTTGGTGATGTACTCTCTTGATATCAGAGTTCTGATGACATGCTCATTTTCTTAAAATGTATCAAACTTTATACCTGTGACTGGAGTACTTTTGTGTATGTTATGCTTGAACAAGAGGTTCACTTAAAAAAATTAACTACCAGGTTCCACCATTCCAAGAGATAATGGGGAATGGGGTTATTGGAAGAAATAGGAGGAAAGGTGCCTACTGTAGGAAAAGGGAAAGAGAGAACAATATAAAAATCAAATAAAACAATTCTGAATGTATTTATTGCTTAATAGGGAAAATTCCATTTACAAACATTTATTTTACAATCAGAACCCAAATGTCTCCAAGTTGAAAATGTGGTCACTTTAACAACACTGAACATTTCTCAGCTCTTATCTCTACCCTCTAATATTCCTATGCCTGGAAAGAACTCTAACAAGTATTTATGGAAATCCCTAGGGGTATCTAATAATGTTACCAAGAATTTTCCCTGCTCTTCAGCAGTGCTGCCACTGGTTACCACTTCATTCCTCAGCAATCCTACAGTCCCAGGTAATCATGCATTTATCTAAACACCTTGTTGCCACTAACTCTTCTGATTTTGTTGATGCAATGGAAATTTTTGAGGCCAAAGCTTCATGGTATTTTGTGAGAAGAATATGTTTTCCATCTTTTCTGTCATTATACTCGGATAGAGAGGAACCAAGGCTACACTACCTTACACCTGTAGAACTAAACAAAGACCAACCAAATGACAAAAGCAGAGGCGATTTGTTCTTAATTTGTTACAGCTAGACAGGTAAACACATTTCCCAAGTGATGCAGGTAGCAAAGAGATATTGCTGTGGCTTTTACTGAGGTAGAAGCAAAAATGAACGAACAAGAAGAAACATAATTTGAAGCAAACAGACATGAGCTTGAAACAAGGAAACTAAGACATGGAGTAATGGCTTTTGCAAGAACCTGATTAATATATTCGGTTGGTGTCAAAGTAACTGGCAAAACTGCGATTAACTTCGGCAACAACCTAATACAAAATTAAATAGACCTACAATGTAATGAAAAAAGAACAGCACACCTGTTATGTGTTCTAGGATCAGCCGTTCAAACAAAATTTATAGAGAATCTCTTTGTACTAAGAGTTTCACTTCTAGACAAATATATACCAGGTACAAAGCAAAGAGATGAAAACACCTAGGCTTTCCCAGAAACATGGGTGATTTTTACAATTTCTGGGCGTTTTTTCCCCTGTAAAATGGAAATAATATATGTGGAAATAAAGAAAGATCGCCAAAACTGGAACGGGCAGAGGCTCTTTATTCCAAGCTTGGAAGGGAGTCAGCCACCGTCACTTGCATTTTGTCAGAGGCCAAAGGCAGGCAGAGGAGTGGGAAAGCTTTACAGTGGGAAGAGGGAAGGCACCAGTATGTCTTGTATGAAGCCCGTTGGTGTGGGAAAGCTGCAGGTGGGCTAAGTAGAAATGGGGCATCCTGTGCAATTTATTATGTTTGGCTTTCTCTGATTTGTCCAAAGCTGGAAGTGGGGACAAAAATTAGGGAGGCTGTCAGTTATGAATCTAGTCCTGGCCATTCTGGGCCAAATGTTACAGAATATATTATTAGTTATTAGTTTGGCATCCTGGATTGTCACTAGAGATAGCAATTTGGTCTTCTGTAAGCCTGACTTACAGCAGCCTGGCTTCTGGTTTTGTTTTCTTTCCAACTTGTAAAATTAGCTTCTTTGTATTTTTTTTTTTAATTTTTAAGTTCTGGGTTACATGTACAGAACGTGCAGTTTTGTTACATGGATATATGTGTGCCATGGTGGTTTGCCGCTCCTATCTACCTGTCATCTAGGTTTTAAGCCCCGCACGCGTTAGTCATTTGTCCTGCTCTCCCTCCCCTCACCCCGTAGCCCTTGAGAGGCTCTGGTGTGTGATGTTCCCCTCCCTGTGTCCATGTGTTCTCGTTGTTCAACTCCCAAGTGTGACTGAGAACATGCAGTATTTGATTTTCCGTTCCTGTGTTAGTTTGCTGAGGATGATGGCTTCCAGCTTCATCCATGTCCCTGCAAAGGACATGATCTCATTCCTTTTTATGGCTGCATAATATTCCGTGGTGTATATGTAGCACATTTTCTTTATTCAGTCTATTCTTGATGGGCATTTGGGTTGGTTCCTTATTTTAATTGTCAATAGTAGTTGGTTACCGGGCCAGGTTAGTGTAGGTTATGAGTCAAAATTCTATTTTTATATATGATCTGGACATTTTCTGTTTGTATATTCACTTTCTCTCACACTCTAATGTTCAACAGATACTTTCACTAAAATATTTGATATAGTCTATCAATTTGTTTATGGCTTGCAGTTTTTGAATCTTATTTTATATCTATCCACATATTCATACATCTATCCAATTTATTCTATCGCTTTCTTCTAGAAGTTTATGGGTTGGCTCTTATACTTAGGTCTATGCAATGTTTTGACTCAATTTTTGTATATAGTTTGAGGATAGAATATAAGAAAAAAGGTTGTTTGGTTGATGGGCTACTTATTTATTTATATTTATTTATTTGTTTTTGAGATGGAGTCTCACTCTGTTGCCCAGGCTGGAGCGCAGTAGTGTGATCTTGGCTCACTGCAACCTCTGCCTCTCAGGTTCAAGCGATTCTCCTGCCTCAGCCTCCCAAGTAGCTGGGATTATAGGTGTCTGCCACTATGCCCAGATAATTTTTTTGTATTTTTAGTAGAGATGGGGTCTCACCATGTTGGCCAGGCTGGTTTCGAACTCCTGACCTCAAGTGATCTGCCCGCCTCAGCCTCCCAAAGTGCTAGGATTACAGGCATGAGCCACTGCACCTGGCCGGATAATTTTTCCAGCACCCTTTGTTGAGAAGGATGTCTGTTCTCTGTTGAATTACACTGACATTTTACAAAGAAAATTGTGGGCATATTTGTGGGCATATTTGTTCCTATTAGTTTCATTGATCTATGTGTCTATACATATGCCAACACTACACTGTATTGATTCCTGTAGGTTTACAGGAACACTTGAAACATGGTAATGTGAAACTTCTAAATTTGCTATTTTTCTAAATTATTTTGGTTATTCTAGATTCTCTGCATTTTCGCATAAGTTTTAGAACACATTTCCAATTTTCTACAAAAATAGTCCACTAGGTTTTGAGATTGTACTGAATCTAGAGGTAAATTTGAAGAAAATGATATCTTAACAATGTTGAGTATTCCAATCTTTGAACACAGTGTATCTCACCATATCTTTAATTCTTCTTTCCTCCTAGCAATGGTTTGTAGTTTTTACTGTATGCTTTAATATATTTTGTTAATCTTCGAATGCTTTAAGTTGTATTATCTATAGTTTCAATGTCCAATTGTTTGTTGCTAGTGTATAGAAATAAAATTAATTTTTTATATTGACCTTGTATCTTGTGACCTTCATAAATGCACTTATTAGATTGCATATTCTTCAGAATTTTTTATAAAGATGACTAATTTGTCTGTGAACAGTTATTTTTTCCTTTCCAGTATGTATGTCTCTTATTTCTTTTCCTTACCCCATTGCACTGTCTAGACACTCCACTGCAAGGCTGCATATAAGTGGTCAAAGTGGACACCCTTCCCTCGTTTCTGATGTTAGGGGAAAAGAACTCAGGCTTTCACCATTGCGTGTGATGTCAGCAACAGATTTTTCATAGATGCCTTTTATCATGTTGAGAACATTCCTTTATATTCCAGGTTTCCTGAGATTTTTTTAAAATCATGAATGGGTGGTAATTTTATCAAATGCTTTTTCTGTATCTGTTGACATGATCATAACCTTGACTTGTTATGTTTGTTTTGTTATTGTATTAATTTGTTTCAAGGAAGTATTTTAAAGCAGCAGTCCCCAACATTTTTTACGGTAGGGACCAGTTTCACAGAAGACAATTTTTCCATGGATGGGGTTAGGGGAGGTGGGGCGGAGGTGGGGGGATGGTTTTGGGATGAAACTGTTCCACCTCAGATCATCAGGCATTAGATTCTCATAAACTAGATCCCTTGCACGTGCAGTTCACAGTAAGTTTCATGCTCCTATGAGAATTGCTGGTGCTGATCTGACAGGAGGCAGAGCTCAAGGGGTCATGCTCACTCCCCTGAAGTTCACCTCCTACTGTGCAGCCCGTACGTAATAGGTTCCTAACAGGCCACGACCAGTAGTGGTCCAGGGGTTGGGTTGTGGACCCCTGTTTTAAAGCATATGGGAAGAATCCATGTAAGTCAGAGATATGGGATTTATAAAAAGTAAGTGATAATTCAAAAATTGAGGTGCCTAAAGAAAAAAATAAAAAACGTCTTTAATGGCTTGCATAGAAATGTTTTCCTGAATTACAGCAGCATTTTCCTCTGCCCCCAAAGCCTCACAAGGCTGATCTTTCTGCCTGGAAATCATCCCTGAGCTGATTGCTACCCTCCTCCCACTGCGTTAGAAGCCTTTCTTATTACTCTCTGTACTTTTTCATGGCACTTTGCCCTCCTTGAATCATTTCATTAATTACTTGTAAAAGTTTGTTTAATATCCATGAACACAGTGACCTCATCAGTTCTATTCTCTACCATATCTTAATGTTTGACAAAGTAGTTAGCCACACCTACTCACACTGGCACTAATTTGAGTATGAATTGCTGCCAGTAGGATTATTTAGAACTAAATATATATGATATAATTTAATGGCCATGTCAATCCCAGCCTGTGGCTATTTATATATGGATACTTACATGTGGAGCCTAGAAAGGTTTAACTCTCAGAAACAAAGAGTAGAATGGTGATAACCAGAGACTTTAGGGAATGGGGAGATGTTGGTCAAAGAACACAGAATTTCAGTTACACAGGAGGAATAAATTCAAGAGATTTATTGTGTATCAGAGTGACCCCAGTTAATGATAATATATTCGACACTTGAAAATTGCTAAGAAAGTAGATTTTAAGTGCTCTCACCACAGAAGTCTGGAATGTAAGGTAATGTATATGTTAAATAGCTTGATTTAGCCATTCCACAATGCATACACACAACAAAACATGTTGTACACCGTAAATACCATATATGCATTTTTTACTTGTCAGTTTAAAAACAAGAATGACTCACATTGTCACTAAATTACAATGTCTAAGGTGGTACAAGTCTTTCATTTTCATAGGAAAAAATGGCCAAAGTGACTGATTTTACGAAAGTGAATAGGTAAAAAACATCGAATAAAGTTGAAAGAATATAGGGCTCTTCTAACATAAATACAATTTTCTTGATTTTTCCTGGTTTAATCTGTTAGGTGAGGGAAGAGGTCTTAATATTCAGAATGTAATTTCCAGAAGTGACAGTTTTATTACATTTTAAATAGATACAAGACACATCATATGATTGCATGTGTATAAAACATAGCCATAAAATAAAAAGTTTAAAAAATTGAAAAATACCATTGTGGTATGTTTCAACTTTCCATTTAGAATTGGAACTGCTGGGTTAAAGGGGTACACCTCTCTGGCATTACTAGATATTGTCAAATTATTTTCCAAAGTAGTTGTTCACATTCATACTCTCCACCAACTCTGTACAAGGGTCCCTCTGCTCCAAATTCTCAGATGTTTTTCACCTTTTCATTTGTAGTAGTCATATTCTCTTGAGTAAGGTATGATAAGACCCAATGCATATCAAGAGAGACATGGGGAATATTTTAAGGTTTTATTACATTTGTATTTTCCTGGAGAGAATACAGCACATAGCTTTATTGTGATCTCTCTGGAAAGGGTAGGATGAGGCAGGGCAAGTAGATTTAAGATTGACTATGTTGGAAAGTGGTCTGCCTGTGAAGTTCATGTTCACTATGACATATACAGCTTAAAGCCATCTAAGGGCTCCAAATATGTGTGGATAAGTCATAATTTGCTTAGAGGTAGCGAATAGGCTTTTAGATGGATGTTAAAACATTAATTTACAGAAGTAAAAAGTATGGCTATTAGTCTGGTGTTATTAATATGGTGAGTATTTTACTTGAATTTACATTTTAATGAGTACTGAACTGATGGAATATCTTTCCATATATTTATGAACACTGCTATTTCATTTGTGAGATGCTGACTCAAGTTCTTTGACTGTTTTTATTGGGTTAGATTTTTTTATTTGTTGATTTAGACACATTCATATATGCTCTTTTTTTTTTTTTTGAGATGGAGTCTCACTCTGTCACCCAGGCTGGAGTGCAGTGGTGTGATCTCGGCTCATTGCAACCTCTGCCTCCCAGGTTCAAGTGATTCTCCTGCCTCAGCCTCCGGAGTAGCTGAGATTATAGCCCATTTTTAAATTGGCTTATTTGTTTTCATGCTATTGAGTTTTTTGAGTACCTCAAATATTTTGGATATTAATCCCGTATCAAGTGTATGGTTTACAGACATTTTCTCTCATTCTATAAGCTGTCTCTTCACTTTGTTTCCTTTGCCGTGCAGAAGATTTTTAGTTTGATGCCATCTCATTTGTGTATTTTTGCTTTTGTTGCCTGTGCTTTTGAGGTTTATTTTAAAAACTTGTTGCCCAGACCAATATTGTAGAGCTTTCCCCACTATTTTCTTCCATTAGTTTTACAGTTTCAGGTCTTTTTTTTTTTTTTGAGACAGAGTCTTGCTCTGTCGCCCAGGCAGGAGTGCAGTGGTGCGATCTCGGTTCACTGCAACCTCTGCCTCCCGGTTCAAGCAATTCTCATGCCTCAGCCTCCCTAGTAGCTGGGATTATAGGCACCCACTTTGTATTTTCTTTTTTAGTAGAGACAGGGTTTTACCATGTTGGCCAGGCTGGTCTCAAACTCCTGACCTCAGGCGATCCACCCGCCTCGGCCTCCCAAAATGGTGGGATTACAGGCTTGAGTTACCTCAGCCAGTTTCAGGTCTTATATTTAAGTCTTTAATCCATTTTTGTATATGGTGTGAGACAAGGATCAAAAAATTTTTTTTCCATGTGTATATAACCAGTTTTCCCAGCATAATTTATTGAAGAGACTGTTTTTTCTCTAGTGTGTGTTCTTTGAACCTTTGCCAAAAATCAATTGACCACATATGTGTGAGGTGATTTCTAGGCTTTCTATCCTGTTCTGTTGGTAGACGTGTCTTGTGTCTATGCTAGGACCATGCTGCTTTGATCTCAATTGCTTTATATTTTGAAATTGAGGAGTGTGCTGCCTGCAGCTTTGTTCTTTCTGTTCAAGATTGTTTTGGCTATTTGTGGACTTTTGTGTTTCCATATGAATGTCTGATGTTTTCCCTATTTCTGCTAAAAATAATATTGAAATTGTAATGGGATTGCACTGAATCTGTAGATTGCTTTGGGAAGTATGGATGTTTTTACAATGAAATTTTATTTCAGGAAGTTATAGATATGGCTCAACTCCTAGATTCAAGTGTTTCTGTGAAGATATCAGCTCTCAATCTAATTGTCTCTTGTTTTAGATTATTGTAAGTATACTTTTGAGATTTTACACTTTTGCCTCTGAAGTTCATTATGTCATGCCTTCTGCCTTGTCCTCCCAAGTAGCTGGGACCACAGGTTTGCACCACCATACTCAGCTACGTTTTTTAGTTTTTTGTAGAGATAGGGTTTCACTATATTGCTCAATCTGGTCTCAAACTCTTGGGTTCATGCAGTCCTCTCTCCTTGGCTTCTCCCTTCTTGGCTTACTAGGATTCCAGGTGTGAGCCACTGTGCCCAGCCTCTCTGCACAATTAATTTCTTTTTCTCTGCCAAAGTAGAGGAAGGTAAGTCTCATTGCTGTACTCTTCTCAGGAGAGTATTTCCAATTTGCTTCTACACCAGAGATGTAGCATTTGGAAACCCAGCCTTATGAGAGGGTTTTCTATTACTATCTGCACCTTGGATGTGCTCTAAGCTTATCTTCTGCTCCCCTCATTCCTCAGCCAGGACAATAACAGAAGCCCAAAGTTCCCAAAGTTTGGCTCAGGCCATCAGTGCTCACTGACTGTCCTTGACTCTTGCTTTCACTTTGTTTTCCACTGGTGTATATTTCCTATTTTCTTTTCTGCTCAGAAATTGTTTTAAATTTATTTTTAAAGAATGTTTTAATCCAGCCCTTAAAATTCCTTTTGGTGCAATGGTTGTTAAAAAAGTCTGGTCTAGTGTCCTGCTGGAAATGGGAATCTAACCATGGCTTTTTTTTTTTAACCTGGTGTTGAGACGGGAGCTGGTCTTTGACTTTACCCAAATTATGAGCAACTGTTTCTTACTGGAGAAGTCAAGTATAAGCATTAAAATAGACAGGTACTGGTTGTGAAAAACCGCATCATTGTTCCTTAGGTATACTTAAAACTTCATTTATAACTGCCCCCTCCAAAAATATCTACCGATTATATCATCCACTCTCTCCCACTTCGAAGTGATTAAGATGAATTGAGATTAATGCGAGGAACGAAACAGGAGTGTGATTGGCCACGGGATAAGCATGTTCTCAGTACAGTCTGTTCACTGTCCCTGTAATTGCCAGATGTAATGAAGTACTTGAATATTACTCATTTTTTTCTCCTGGCAAAACCAAGAAAATTATTTTCTTGCCAGTGTAAGAAACGTCTACTTCTAAGTTTTTAGATTTGTTCTTTGCCGTTTTGCTCTTTCAGGGCTGCATGAGAAAGTCCTGCCACTGGTGATATTAGACTGGCTCCATTTTGTTTTAATGATAAATTAGACCTATGGTCCTATTTGATGGACACTTTACCTCTTTATTACTATTTACTACTTCATGATGCCAAGGCTGTGTCTAATTTGCAAACTGGAATATTGGCTGCTGTTCTTTTGCTTCTTTCTGTTTAACCTACTGATTCTGGATGCCTGAACTTCTGGTCCTCCAATATCGTAAAAGGGTCACATGTGTATGCCTGTAATATCTGTTTCTTCTGTTTTTGTTTGATCATTTGTTTTTTAATTTCACTGTGAGTAGTAAGTACAGTCATGGGGACTAAATTACTGTGTACAGTATTAGGGCTCTTCAACGGAAAAGCTTCCAAGGCTGTCAGGACACGATGCAAATGCCCAGGCAGGCCATGTGTGAGGCAACAGGGCTATGTGGAGTCATGGGCAACAGGGCCTCATCGCCTTTAAGGGCATTGAAATAAAACTTTTAAGAAGCACTCTGAAGGTTTTGGAATATGCTCTTGATGCCAGTGCATGACCCCTCAATAATGGGGCCTTTAAACCCTGTTTTTTTTCTTTCAGAAGGACACATGTGATTGTCCAAGTGTTCTCCATGCACACAGATAAGTCTGGGTGGGAATGTAACCGAAAGACTTTTTCAAGTAGAGAGAACAACTTTTCCGCATCCCTTCAACTATCTAGCTTTGCATTGGAAGTGTCTCTGTGCTTCAAGAAGCATCTTCTCTACATTCAGGAAGTTCACCTTGTTCTGCAGGTAATTGGCTTCAGGCTCAGAGCTGCCATTGCAGATGAAATATGACTTTTTACACTTACTCTCGAGAATAACATGATTTACACATGTTTTTCTTCTTTTACATAATGAGGTTACAGGATGAGTTGGACCAATTCTCACCCTAATCGTAAGACTCAGAAAAGGAAACTTTCCCCGCGTACCAGCCCACTCTTTGCCTAAAGCTCTTGGTCCTCATGATTAGATATCTAACCTGGCCTAAAAAGCAAACATGGCTCCTTGCACAAAACATAAATCTAGATTTAACAGTTTCTTAGTTCATAGTCTACTATCACTACAAAATAAATTATCCCCGAACTCGAGAGCTTAAAACAACCAATATTTATTACCTCATCGTTCCCACAGGTCAGGAATAGTTTACATGAAGAGCTCTGGCTCAATGTCTCTCCTGAGGTTGTAATCAAGATGTTGGGTGGGTGCTGCAGTTCATCTGAAAGCTCAATTTGGGGAGGATTTTCTTCCAAACTCCCTCATATGGCTGTTGACTGGCTTCAGTTGCTCTCTAGCTGTTGGCTGGAGACCAGTTCCTTATACCCCCAAAATCAATGAAACAAAGTAATAAATTGTTCCTGTTTTAAGCCACCTGCTACTCAGCAGTAGGTAATTAACGGTGTACCCCAATCTCTTGATGTGTCGTTTTCAAGCTGGGGCCTTAGCTATACCAGTATCCCACCAGACTGGCAGAGTATGGCAAACCTCCACCTGACAAGTCATCCTGACAACCTCATGCTCAGTCTCTGCTACTCTCACAGTCAGATCTCAGACCTGATTTTTAGCATAGTTTAAGTTTAAGCTTGAGAAGATTCATTGAGCACTGCTGTGAAGATCTTCTGTTTCATGCTGCACAAGAAATTTATTCTTGGCAGAACTGAGACCATCGCTCTCTTTCTTCACACTTAACCACCAGGAATTAAGTCCTTGTTGCCCCCTGGCCAGAATGTGATCCATGTGAGAACTGCTCTCAGTACCAACTGTCTCAGCCATTAAAAAGCTATGGTCAAACACCTATAGTATATCAACTAAAAATAAAAATCAAGGAATTAAAACATACTACCAAAGAAAATTGCTTAACCACAAAGGAAAATAGTAAGAAAGAAAGAAGAAAAGAGAGGAGTTATGAAAAAAATAGAAAAAGTAAAAAATGGCAGGAGTAAGTCCTTACCTATCAATAATTATGTTAGATGTAAATGAGTTAAGTTTTCCAACTAAAAGACCTAGAGTGGGCTGGGTGTGGTGGCTCAGGCTTGTAATCTCAGCACTTTGGGAGGCCAAGGTGGGTGGATCACCTGAGGTCAGGAGTTCAAGACCAGCCTGGTCAACATGGTGGAACCTTGTCTCTACTAAAAATACAAAAATTAGCCAGGTGTGGTGGCATGGGACTGTAGTCCCAGGTCCTAGGGAAGCTGAGGCAGGAGAAGCACTGGAACCCAGGAGGCAGAGGTTGCAGTGAGCTGAGATCGTGCCACTGCACTCCAGCCGGGGTGACAGAGGGAGACTCCATCTCAAAAAACAAAACAAAACAAAAAAACTCAGAATGGCTGGATGGGTTTTTTAAAAAAACTACTTTATGCTGCCTATAAGAAACTGAATTTACCTAAAAGGACACAAATAGACTGACAAGGAAGAAATGGAAAAGATATTCCATGCAATGAAGATTAAAAAAGAGTAGGAGAGGCTATACTCCTATCAGATAAAATAGACTTTAATACAAAAGAAGTACAAAGAGACAGAAGGATCATTATGTAATGACAAAGGAATCAATTCAGCAAGAGGATATAACATAGTAAATATGTATGCTCCCACCAAAAGAGCACCCTAATATATAAAGCAAATATTAATACATCTAACGGGACAGATACACTGCAGTACAGTAACAGTAGGGGACTTCCAACACCCCACTTTCAGCAATGGAAAGATCATCCTGTAAGAAAGACAACAAAGAAACATTACAGTCAAACTGTACCCTGGACCAAATTGACCTAAGTGACATTTGCAGAACATTTCATCAAACATCTGCAGAATACACATTCTTCTCATCAGCACATGGAACACTGTCCAGGATACATCATATATTCGGTGGCAAAACAAGTTTTAACAAATTTTAGAAAGTCAAAGATCACATCAAGTATCTTTTCTGATCACAATGAAATAAAACTAGAAATCAATAAGTAGAAGAACTTTGAAAACTATACAAGTATATAAAAATTAAGCTACACACCCCTAAACAACCAATGGATCAAAGAAGAAGTTGAGAAGCAATTTTTAAAATTTCTTAAAAGAAACAAAAATGGAAATACAATACACAAAACCCTATGAAATACAGCAAAAACAGTACTAAGATGAAAGTTTATAGCAATAAATGCCTACATGAAAAAAACAGACTTCAAATAAACAACCTGAAAATGCACCTCAGGGAACTAGAAAAGCATGAACAAACCAAATTCAAAAATTAGTAGAAGGAAAGAAATAATACCAGAGCAGAAGTAAATGAAATTGAGACTAAAATAATAATACAAAGGATCAACAAAATAAAAGTCGGTTTTTGGAAAAAAAAATGAAATTGACAAACTTTTACCTAGACTAACTACACAAAAACAGAAGACCCAAATAAACACAAAATCATATTTGAAAAAGACATAACAACTGATCCCACAGAAACACAAAGAATCATTAGAGACTATTTGAAACAACTATATACCAACAAACTGAGAAACCTGGAAGTAACGAAAAAATTCCTGGACACATAAGACCTATCAAGATTGAAGCATGAGGACATAGAAAATCTAAACAGAACAATAATGAGGAATCAGGTCGAAGCTGTCATTAGAAATCTCCCATAAAAAACAAACAAACAAATGAACAAACAAACAAAAAACCAGCTCAGGACTCGATGGCTTCACTGCTGAATCCTACCTTACATTTAAATAAGAACTAACACTAATTCTTCTCAAACTATTCAAAAAAACTGAAGTGAATGGAAGTGAAGGAAATACTTCTAAACTCATTCTACAAGGCCAATATTACCCTGATACCAAAACTAGACAAGGATACAACAACAAAAAAGAAAACATCAGGCCAATATCCATGATGAATGTAGATGAGAAAATCCTCAACCAAATACTAACAAACTGAATTCAACAACACATTAAAAAGAATATTCACAGTGATTATGATTATGTGGGATTCACCCAAGGGATGCAAACATACCTTAATGTATACATAAAAAGTGATACATTCTATCAACAGAATCAAAGGAAGAAAAACATAATCACTTCAACGACGCTGAAAAGCATTTAATAAAATTCATATCCCTTCATGATAAAAACACAACTAACTGGGTATAGGAGGAACATACTTCAAAACAATAAAGGCTCTATATGACAAGCTTACAGCTAACAATATACTGGATAGGAAAAATGGAAAGCCTTTCTGTTAAGATATGAAACAAGGCAAAGATGCTCACTTTCCCCTTTTTTATTCCAACGTGGTGCTTGTATTCTAGCCAGATAAATTAAGCTGGAGAAGGAAATCAAGGGCATCCACACTGGACAGGAAGAGGTCAAATTATCCTCGTTTTCAGACAACATGATCTTATGTTAAAAAAATATAAATACTGTACCAAAAAACTATTAGAACTGACAACATGATCTTACGTTAAAAAAAAAAAGACTCTACCAAAAAACCATTAGAACGGTTAAACAAATTCACTAAAGTGGCAGGATACCAAGTTAACATATAAAAATTGTAATTCTATATGAAAACAGTAAACAATTTGAAAAAGAAATCAAGGAAGAAATTTCATTTAAAATAGTTACAAGAAAATAAAATACATAATAATAAATTTAACCAGAAAAGTGAAAGATTTCTACAATGAAAACGATAAAAAAGCAAGGAAATAAATCAAAGAGGATACAAAAATGGAATATCACATGCTCATGGATTGAAAAAATTATTGTTAAAATGTCCGTACTACACAGAGTGATCTACGAATTCAATGCAATCAAAATTCCAATGACATTCTTCACAGAAGTAGAACAAGCAATATTAAAGTTTATAAGGAACCACAAAAAATAGCCAATGCAATCCTGAGCAAAAAAGAACAAAGCAAGAAGCATCGTACTACCTGACTTCAAATTATACTACAAAGCTATAATAACCAAGACAACATGGCACTGGCATAAAAACAGACACACGGACCAATGGAACAGAACTGATGACCTAGAATTAAATCCACACATTTATAGCCAACTCGATTTTCAACAAGGCACCAACAATATACTTTGGAGAAAGGAAAGTCTCTTCAGTAAATGGTGCTAAGAAAGCTTGATAACCATATGTGGAAGAATGAAACTAGAGGTTTATCTGTCACTATATACAAAAATCAACTCGAAATGGATTAAACACCTAAGTTTAAGGCCTGAAACTATGAAATTACTAGGAGGAAACATTGGGGAAATGCTTCAGGGCATTCGTTTGGGCAATAACGTTTTAGGGGAAAGACCTCAAAAACACAGGCAACAAAAGCAAAAACAGACAAATGGGATTGCATCAAGCTAAGAAGCTTCTACGCACCAAAGGAAACAATAAAGAAAGTGAAGAAACAAACTACAGAATGGTGGAAAATATTTGCAAGCTATAATGCTAATAATGGCTATTTTGAAGGCTTTTTCTGGCAAACTTGACATCTGGTCACTCTCACAGTCCATTTCTGTTACCTGCTTTTTTCCAGTGTATGGTTTATACTCTCCTATTTTTCTATATGGTGTGCATTTTTTTTTTGTTGAAAACTAGACAGAAAAAATAAGTCTGGTGCAAGAAAGAAGGATGGGCATGGTGGAAATGAGTTCATGCTGAGATGATTTAGGACACTTTTGCAATAGTCCAAGAGATAAGCGATGGGAACCTGAACCAAGGTTGAGTTGGTGGGACTAGAGAAAAACAAGAGGATTAGAGCAATATCTAAGAGGCAGGATCAAAAGAATTTGGTATCTAACCATATGTGGAGAAGGCCAGAGAAGGAGGCATTGAGGGACACTCTCGGGATTCAGACTTGGTGACTGAGTGGGTAAATGGTTGTATTGTTAAGCAGGAGAGAGAAGGTGAGGAGTCAGCCTAAATAATGGGTTCAGTTTAGAAAATGTTAAAGTGAAGCATACAGAAAAATCCAAGTTTAATATCTATTTGGCATTTGAATATATGGATCTGGAATGCAGGATAGAAAGTCCAGCTCAAGATAAAGACTTTGATATCAGTATCATACATGGTATGATGTTAAAGACATCAGATTGGTGAAACTGTTGAGGGAGCTCATGTAGAGCTAATGCAGTGTAGTGAAGCTGCACCTGGAGTCACCCAGGATGCTTTAAAAAATAATAAGGCCAGGGTCTTAATCCCCTAGATATTACGTTGTAATTGAGTTGGGATGTTGCCTGAACACTGAGATTCTTTAAGTGCCCCAGGTGATTGTAATGTTGAGCCAAAGCTGAGAACTACCATTCACAATTGCCCATTTCTTACCCTCTGCTTGGCCTTAACCAAACTTCAGAGAGGCTTTTCTCCTCCCCAAAGGACATTGAACTTTACCTTACTCTCAATTCAAGTATGCACCCTTATCAGCTTATCTCAAGAATTGTCTAACCGCAGCAAGACACTTCCAGCCAAACCAGGTCATGCATTCTGCTTACTATGCCTCATCTACTCAACCTAACTTTGCTGCTGACCTTCCCCACCACCATACAGAAGAAAAGCCATTTTTTTTTTCTGTTTAATTTTGAGTTGTTTGCAGATTTCTGAGATGAGAGCATTCTCCCTATTGCAATAGTCTTTTTAAGTAGAGTTTCTTCTTATCTAACACTGGATTTGTTTTTATTTGACAACTGGTATAAGGCAAGAAGGTCAGGACACTACAAATCAGTTTTTATAAAGCAGAAAGAAGGGAAGAATCAGAAAAAGAGGCTGAGAATTGATGAGCAGAGGGGTTGGAGGAAGAGTACAAGAATGAGAAATGTGGATGGAATAACCTGGTATGGGATTCCAAACTTTACAGTAAAGTTGTTTGGAATGTACATATTGAAATTCTTCTTTGTATCTCAAATGGCTACCTGAGTGTGTGCTGTTCTGATGAGGACATGACAAGAATGGAAGGAAAAGGTCTACGATCTCATGGGCAGGGTCTACAGAAGAGAGACCCCATTATATGTCATCTTTAGCAGAACAAAGAATGACCTTGGAGTGCCACTGGAGGAACACCCTGAGTTCTACTGATTACCCTCAAGTACCTGGAAGGCCTTCCATACTTCTGCTGGGTTAGGTTACCCATTTAGGGCTTGCTTGGGACACTCGTCATTTTATGCCTCCACCACAGTGCAATTCCAGACTGTTCCTAAAATAAGATCTAAAAAATGTTCAAAATATGCAGAGAATGCATGACCCTCATGGTGAGCAGCCAGCAACCAAGCAGCACAAAGTGGGGAGCCCGTCTGGTGGAAAAGGTGCACAGTATTGGCAGCTGCTGAGCACTTCATCTCTTGCATTCAATCCATCCCACAGTATATCAATTACAACTTCTCCAACAGTTTTTTCTCCATAGAAAATTTCTACCATGGTGGTATCCCAATGTGTGGAGAGGCTCAGCTTCAGATTTTCATTATTTCTACCATGTTCGAACAAATATGTTAAAATAATAAACTTTGTTCCTCAATGTTTATTTTTAGAAAGTTTCCTTTTAAGGAACTTCTAAAAATTTTAAGAATATTCTTAGCTCAGATGCTTGAATAAAGATATTCCAACTGATGGCAGCACAATGGTGGAATAAGAGTTCTCTGGCTTTGCAGCCCACCCCACCCCACCCCACAGAAATCCAGCCAGCAACTATCCAAAGGCAGGAATACCATCCTCAATATCCCAGAACTCAGTAGTGAGGTTCAGAATACCCCTTGGAACACAGAACCAAGAAAAGCCATGATCAAACATTAAGAAAAATGGTTCTCTTTGACTGTGCTGCCCTCCTCCCCCAAGCTGGAAGAGTCACCCATAGAGAATTCCCCTGGGACCACAGTTTCTACAGCAGTAAACCTGACTTGGAGGTAGATATTTAGCTTCCCCATCACTGTGGGACCCTTTGCAGGAGGCCCACTACTGTCTCGTCCCATAAGACACATTAGGAGTACTGGTAAAGCTAGACCACCCGGAGTCAGTTAGAAACAAAGAATGAGGATGGGGCTCATAGGGACCAGCACAGGAATCTCGCTGCTTGTTCTGCATTCTAGCCAGTGGAGGCACCATACCAGAGAAACTACCCAATAGCATCAAGCCGCAGTAAACACAGTTTATGAGTCTTCCAGACTCAAATCTCTACCCAGCTTTCCTCATACAGCCTGTGTGATTTCATTGTCTTCCCCAGGTTAAGAGGCAACTTTAGGTGAGTGACTACCTGCAGAGGGAGGATCTGGCCCTATCCAACCCTAGTCATGAAGAAGTGATCCAACAAAGTTCTGGTACTTGCATTAAATCTTCCCCAGGCTGAGAAGTAACTGGAGATCAGTGATTTGCAGAGGCAGCATCTGGTTTTGCCCAAACCTAGCAGTAGAGAGGTGATCTAACTAAGCCCTAGTGCTCTCCTTAAGTCTTCCCTAAGCCAGGAGGCAATGGTAGGTTAGCAATTACCCACACGGGAAAGAATCTGGTCTTGCCCAACCCCAGCTGCAGAGTGATGATTCCACCAAGCCTCAGTGCTCTGTTTGAATATACCCTAGACCAGGAGGCAAGCCCAAGTCCATACATATCCATGGAGCATAGGCTCTGGCCCTTACCACCCTATGTAGCTAAGCAAAAACATTAGAGACCTCACCTAGCCTCAGAATCCATCACACAGCCACGCATAGCTACAGATTCCAGACAACAGCACTGCTTACCCAGGAAAGACAATCTACAATTCTCCCCCATCAGGGACAATTGCAAAACCAAGCCAGCAATCCCACCTTGCATCAGAGTCCAGTCAGTGGTCTCACCGGACCTCGGAGCTCAGCCAACAATACCACTTCACCTCAGAGAATAGGATGTGACCCAGCCCAATTACAAAACCTTACACCAAGATATGCCTGTCCAGTGTTGCTGTCAGCCAGCCCACTCAGAATCTCAAGCTACACTAAATAGTAAATATCTATCTCCACCAAAGAACAACTGCAAAGTCCAGAAGAAATGGCGGTCTCCCCAAATGTGCAGCCATCAGTGTAAAAACATAAGGATTATAAAATATTAGGGAAATATGATACCAACAAAAGAAATTAATAAAGCTCCAGTAATGAACTCGGAAGAAATGGAGATTTATGAAATGACTGACAAAGAATTCAGATTAATCCTCTTAGAGAAGTTCTGGGAACTACAAGAACACACAGATAGAAAATTAAATAAAATCTGAAAAATAATTCATGAACAAAATGAGAGGGTTTTTTTTTTACAAGGAAATAGAAACAATAAAAAGCAAAATGGAAATCCTAGACATAAAGAATAAGTGAACTAGCAAATTTAATAGAAAATATCAATAGCAAATTGACCAAGCAGAAAAAAGAACTGGTGAGCTCAAAAACAAGACGTTTGACATTATCCTATCAGAGGAGCAAAAAGAATAAAAAAGAATAAAGAAGTTCTCAAGGAATTATGGAATGCCATCAAGTGAACTAAACTTCACATAGTAAAAGTTCTTGAAGATAGAGTAAAAGGCTTGGGAAGCATATTTAAGCAAATAATGGCTTAAAATTTCCCAAATCTTGGGAAAGATGACAACATCCAGAAAGCTCAGAGGTTGCCAATCTAATTTAACCCAGAGAAAAGTTAACCAAGACACATCATAATCAAATTAGTAAAAAACAAAGACAAAAAAGACTACTGAAAGCAGCAGAGATAAGAAACATATCACACTCAAAAGAGCCCTAATATGGTTTTCAGTGTATTTCTCAGCAGAAACCCTGTAGGCCAGGAGAGAATGGGATAACATAGTCAAAGTGCCAAAGTAAAAAAAGAAAACTTGCCAAACAAAAATACTTTACTTAGCAAAGCAGTCTTTAAAAAATAAAGGAGAAATAAAAACTTTTTCAGACAATCAAAAGTTGAGAGAGTTCACTACTAGGCATGCTTTACAGGGATTGCTAAAGGGCATTCTTAAGCTGAGATAAAAGGCCACTAATTGAAGAGATAGTGTGTCACTCCCAAGGTTTAGGTTTTAAAAGGACGGTGGTTTCTATTTCTAACAGTGTGAACATTCTTAAAAAAACTAAAAATAGAGCTACTATAAGACCCAGTAGTTCTGCTTCTGGGTATATATTCAAAGGAACTGAATGTAATATGTTGAAGGGATATCTGCACTTTCATTTTCATTGCAACACTATTCACAATAGCGAAGATATGCTGCTATTCCCTTCAATCTAAGTGCCCATCAATGGATGAATAAAGAATATGTGGTATATATACACAATGGAATACTATCAGTCTTAAAAGGCGGGGAAATCCCATCACTGAAATAGGATAGTGAATCTGGAGGAGGTAATGCTAAGTTAAATAAGCCATACACAGAAAGACAAATATTACAAAACCTGACTTACATGCAGAATCTAACAGAGTTGAACTCATAGAAGTAGAGAGTAGAATGATGGTTACCAGCTAGGGGGATGGGAGTGGGGATGGAAGGAATGAAGACTTGTTGATCAATGGGTAAAAAGTTTCTGATAGATAGGAGGAATACGTTTTGAGATCTGTTGTATAGCAGGGTGACTACAGTAAATAATAATGTATTATATATTTCAAAATAAACAATAGATTAATTTTAAAATGTTTTACCATAAAAAAGATAGGTAACTGAGGTAATGGATATGTTAATTAACTTGATTTATTCATGCCACATTGCATACATATATCAAAACAGCATACTGTACCTCCTAAATGTATACAATTACGATTTGTCAAAAATATTATGTTATTTAAAAATAATTTTTTTGCATTACCTCAACACAATAAAAGCCATACATGAAATGCCTATAGCTCACATTATGCTCAATCATAAAAAGCAGAAAGCTTTTTCTTTAAGATTGAATACAATACAGGATGATCACTTTCACCACTACTGTTCAACATAGCACTGGAAGTCCCGGTCAGAGCAATTAGGCAAGAAAAAGAAATAAAAGGCATCCAAATCAGAAAGGAAGAAGTTAAACTGATCCTATTTGCAAACTATATGATCCTATATATGGAATGCCCTGAAGACTCCACCAAAAAGGTGTTGGAACTAATAAATTAGTTAAGCAAAGTTTTAGGATACAAAATAAATGTGCAAAAATCAGTAGCACTTCTATACAATAATGCTAAACTACCCCCCACCCACCAAATTACAGAAACAATCTTACTTACAATAGCTACAAAAAATGAAATAGTTAGGAATAAATTTAACAAAGGAGGTAAATGACCTGAACACTGAAAACTGTAAAACATTAATGAAAGGAAATGCAAGAGACATAAATAAATTAAAAGGTATCTTGCGCTCATGGACTGGAAAAAACACTACTATTAAAATGTTCATACTAACCAAAGTAATCTACAGATTCAAAGAAGTCTCCATCAAAATTTCAATGACATTTCTCACAGAAATAATAAATTAACCCTAAAGTTCACAGGGAACCATAAAATAAAATCCCAATAGCCAAAACAATCTTGAGCAAAAAAAGTACAAATCTTGAGCAAAAAGAACAGTAATCACAAGCCCTAATTTTAAAACATGTTATAATGTAATTGTAATCAAAATAGCATGGTACTGGCATAAAAACATACACATAGACCAATGGAACAGGAGAGAGAACAAAAAATCTTTGGAAAAGGTGCTCTCTTCAATAAATGCTGTTGAGACAACTGGTATCCACTTGTATCCATTTGTATCTGAAACCGTATATACAAATTATCTCAAAAGGATTAGAGATTTAAATGTAAAACCTGAAAATGTAAAACTACTAGAAGAAAAGATCAGGAAAAAGCTCTATGACCCTGGTTTGGGCAATGATGTTTTGGAAATGACCCTAAAAGCACAGACACAAAAGCAAAAACAGACAAATGGGATGGCATCAAACTAAAAAGCTTCTATTCAGCCAAGGAAACAATCAACAGAGCTAAGAGACAATCTACATTCAGAGAAAATATTTGCAAGCCATACATCTGATAAGGGATTAATCTCCAAAATATATAAGAAGCCCAAACAACTTAATAGTAAGAAAATAAACAATTGTAAAATGGGCAAAGCATCTGAATAGACATTTCTCAACAGAAGGCACACAAATGGCCAATAGGTATATAGAGAAATGCTCAACATCACTAATCGTCAGGAAAACACAAATAAATGAGACATTTGCATGATGAGATATCACCTCATACCTGTGAGAATGGCTATTTTCAAAAAGATGAACGATATCAAGTGTTGACAAGGATATGGAGAAAAGGGAACCTGTGTACCTTGCTGGTGGGAAATTTAATTAGTGTAGCCATTATGAAAAATAGTATGGAGATTCCTCAAAAAAATAAAAGTAGAACTATGATATAATCTAGCAATTCCACAACTGGGTATATTACATATTATACACAATAGCCAAAATGTAGAATCAACCTGTGTCCATCAAAAGATAAATAGATAAATAGAATGTGGTATATATACACAATGGAATATGATTTGTCTTTTTAAAAGAAGGAAATTCTGTGATTTGTGATGACATAGATGAATTTGGAAGACATTATGTTAAATGAAATAAGCCGGACACAGAAAGACAAAAAGACTACATGATCTCAGTTACGTGGAGAATCTACAAAAGTTGAAATCATAGAAGTAGAGGGTAGAATGGTGTTTACCAGAGGCTTGGGGAAGCGAGTGGATAGGGAAAGAGAAATGTTGATCAAAGTAAACAAAGTTACATTTAGATATTATACATTATGTACTTAAAAATTGCTAAGAAGTAGGTTTTAAGTGTTTTGCCACAAAATGATAAATATTTGAGTTCATAAATGTGTTCATTAGCTTGATATAATCATTCCACTATGTAAATGTGCATCAAAATGCCATATTTTCCCCATAAATATATGATTATTTGTCAAATAAAAATAAAATTAGAAAAACATTTCCTTATGTTTTTAAATGTCTAAAATCGTTTTTCTTTAGATTACATACACAAATAATAGCTTAATCAGAAAACAAGTTATATGAAGCTAAGGCAGGCAACATAGAGCACAGTATATAATATTCTGAGTGTTTCATATACCTGACAAAAAATTGAACCTTGTAACATAAATCTGATGAATAAATTGGACTTTATTGGACATCTTTAACCCTAACCACCTTCTGTCACATCCATTATTTTATTATTTGTTTTCCTTCTATCCTCTTGCCTAAAGTCTCACTACTCTTTGATTCTTACCACTATTAAAGCATTCAGACTTGGTTAATATCTAAAAAAAATTTAGTACTTTTTCCAATAATTTTGGCAAAAAGAAAGAATAGAAGGGAGTGCCTTAAGAAGCACTAGCTTTCCCGCCAACCAACATGTTTCTGGTGGTGTCAGTTATTTATTGAGGAAGTCCTGTGTATCCGGCATGACATTTGTTAGAGAACGTTCCCCAACTTCTTTCGTCTCTTCCAAATCCGATCCCGAGAAAGCCTGTGAGGCTCGTTTCTCTATTTTAACATTGCAGAATTAAGAGAGTGAGTCAAACAAGATAGCATGGAAGAGGTGGGATAAATGGAGAGAAGTTGCCCATGAGTGTTGCATAGTAAAGAGCCGTGGGATGTGGGAATGGGCACAGACTAGATCAAAGGTCATTTAGGCCCAGAATTTGAGAATGTGATTTGGGTTCATGTGATGTGTGGGGAGACTCTGAAACAGTCAGAGAATGAGAACAAGTCAGAAAATGGAAGACGTGAATTTTTAATTGCAGCTCTGAGTTATGAATTGGATCCCTTTGAGAGATGAAAGCAGAGAATGAATTTCTTTTTAACAGTTGCATAATTCTTTGAGTAAAATTCCCATTAGTTATTTCAAATGGCTATATCAGGTAAGAATGAAAAGAGAGGACTAATATTCCCTTGACTCTGAGTTTCTAGGGTTTCATATCTGTTATCTAAATATTTGTTACACAGCATGACTTAAGGTTTGGAAAATGAAGAACCTCTTGTGAAAGGATAAATTCGATACCCTCTCTCAATTTTTTTCAGCACAGCGGCCACATCAGTCAACTTTACTGTCATTTCTCCCACTTAATGCCAAAGGATAGAAGTTTTTCTTCATGCTTGGATTGATAAAACTGGTCCACTTTGTAACAATGTCTTTCTGGGCTACAGCCAAACACATGAAAGTATCAGTGTCCTTTGATGGTGGTCAATCTCTCTCCTCGCTAAGGTGCACTAACAGTGTGTCATTTCTAGTCTCTCCAGGCTGCAGTGACCAAGCCTTATCCCCATATTCTCATTGCTCTGGACACCAAGCAAGCCCAGGAGTAAACGTAGAACCCAGTTTGCTGCCCAGCTTTCCAAAGACCCTAAAGTCACTGTTCTTCCCTCCACCCACCCTGGCTATTTAGTTTATTCATGAGTGTGGAAATTAACCAGCATTTCCTTCTCAAAATTCTAAATATGAAGTATTTTATTAAACCCTTTCTTTACAAAATGGACTATTTGTCTTGTTCTCTTCTAAACTAGAATTCGTCAATATTTTTTGGGATTATCAAAATAACTTTTTCTGAAGCAGAACAAAAAAAATGCCACAAATCAAATCTTTAGCTGAGCAATCGGTTACATTATATTCGTATTCTTTCTGTACCATTTTACTCATTCACTAATTTTTTTAAATTAATCTTTGAATTTCTATTTCTGCCTGAAATGTAAAAAGCTGGGAAGAGTGTCACTTCCACACCAAAACTGAGAAAAAGTCAGATGAACTACAAAATCGTAACTTTTATTGAGCCAATGAGAGAGCCGAGTTTGTTGGTAAACCAAATAGCTAAATGACCAGGAGGAAAAGGAATCTTAAGCAGAGATTATATCTGCAGACTGGTTCACCTGTGGCAGAACATGGAGGGCAAGTGGGTAAGAGGAAATTAGTTACACATTTAACTAATTGTTGGAAGCCAGGTGTGGGCTGGCTTATCAATCTTTAACGGCTGGTGCCCCCATACGCAGGGTAGTCCATCCTCATTGTATGCTCTTTTCCACAGGTTTTCAACAGGTGCTCATCAAAAAGATTATGATTAGGGTGGAAGACTGGAAATAGCCCTCCTCAGTAGGGTAAACGCACAGGAGTGGATAGGTGGTTCCAACAGGAAATGCACAAACATGTAACTTCTGCCTAAGACCTTCTCTCCCACGGAGAAAAAGTACTAAACCCTTGGAAGAAGGCAGAAAGCATTATCCTCAGAATAAAGTTAAAGGAAAATTTATTGCAGCTTGGGAAAGGGTGGAAGAGAAACTCATTAGTCCCCCAGGGAAGGAACAAGAAACCATACTGAATTTAGAATGCATACAGATGGAAAGAGTGTTGCTCACACACTAAAATGAGAAGAAGCCATGTAAACTATAAAACCATTATTTTTTTTACACCCTACCAATACCATTACAGGTCTGTTCCCATCTGGGGAAGGGCAGAAAAACTTCCACTCAAGGCCAACTGCAAATATAAGGCAGAGTTAATCTGTTATGGGGAGAAGCAGACAATGGACAAAAAAGCCAAGAAAGCCCCACCCCATGGCCGGGCAAACAGGGCCTTCCTAAGACTGAGACTGGACTAGGACATCAGAGAATCTCCCTGCCTGTGTGTCTGTGTGTGTGTGTGTGTGTGTGTGTGTGTGTGTGTGTGTGTGTATTTGTGTTAAGAAGGTCTACTCTTCCTCATGGTCATTACCACATTCTTGTACAATTTCTTTAATTATCCTTTATAGAGATTTTGATGTTTAGATGTTTAATCCATCTAGATTCTATTTGGGAGAAGGATAGTGAGATGGGATATAATTTTTTTTTTCAGATGGATAGTCAGTTTTCTCAATTGTCTCAAATGATTTTATTAAATATCTTGTCCTACTTTCCTTACTAATTCAAGATGCTACCATTTAATACATTCTATTATGATTGAGTTTTTATTATTCCTCAGAGACCATAGAGGAGTGGGGTGGCTGAGGAGTGGTGGGAAGATAGACAAAACATGCTGCAGAGTCTTACCCTCCAGAGGCTTTTCCGTGAATTTAGGGGATACAACCAATCTTTTTAACTTCCTATTTTCGATTCTACTTAGCTTGTGTATAGTAATGCCGATGCTATGTTCCATATACTTTCCTAAATATTTTTCATGAATTCTCTTAATTATTCTCACTACATCTTTATAAGGTAATGATTACTATCAATCCTTTTCCCAGATTAAATTTAGCAGGGTTGAATAACTTGCCAAGGTCACATAGATGGAAACTGGCAGAACCAATGAAACCAGGTTTCTTTCACTCCAAAGCTCTTAATAATTCAGTAAAGCCTTGTTAGTCAATGCAGTTATATCCTGTCTGATCTAATATTAGTTTTAAATAGAATATAAGTTTCAGATGCTTGAATTATTTCTTAGTGTCAGTAGAGAACATACATGACTCTGGATCTTGTTTGAAATATTTTCTCTCTTCAGACTTAAAGACTTATTCATTTTTATGTTTTTTATTTTTTATTTTCATTGTGTTGATGAAGATCTGGTTAGTTACTACCTGCAACTTACTGTAAGAAAAGCTTTGCCGAGATTAAGTTTCTTACTTTTTAATCTTGCTTATTCTTTCTCCTCACAGTCAATGCAAAAAAAAAAAAAAAAAAAAGGATACTATCAGCCTAAACTCTGTAGCATGACTTCTATGATTAAATTTTCCCTTCCTTCTGCACGTCTCTGTTTCTTAGCATCTTGCACTTTGAAATTTGGCATTCTTAGACCAATAAACATTTACATAAAAAGATGTCTGAAATATATTCCATGAGATAAAAGTTACAGCATTGTGTGTATGCACACACACACACAAACACATTCACAGTATTATTTTGCTTATCTTTGAAATTTCCACAACTAAATTTAATTACTTTCATAAGTAAAAAGAAAATGTGAACTACTTTCTATTTACTTTTTATTTATTCTATTATTTACATCAAGTGGTTGTGGTAAAAAATGTTTCTTGCTATTTATATTAGAGATGGTTCTAGTGGTCTTTCTACTCACTGTTAAGTATGCCTTTGATTTCTTTATAAGTACTATACCTACCCATCAAGCCAATTTATTATACCTTAAAATACATATAAACAGAACGTAACTAATACACCATTTTTATTAATTTTACTCAAACCTATGTACATCTTACTGGGTGGGCTGTGAATGGCACTATGGATGCCTCCAGGAGCTCTGGGCGGCTGTTCCAGATAATTCTTCTCCAGCTTCTCAAATACAAAAATGTACTTTATCCATTGCAGCTCTTATCATTTCCTTGAAAAAATTAGCTCCCATTTCTAACTTTCCTATTTTTTAACAATAGCATTATTACTCTTTTAGACAGCCAGGCTTAAACTTTGGCATTGTCTATGAATGTTGGGGATAAAGCATAGGAATGTATCAAGTTTTCTTTTCACCTGTCTCATATCTTTTTTCTCTCTTCGTCCTCACTGTGTAGTTAAGCAGTTCTCCATCTTCTTCCTTGACTTTTTGAACATTTTGGAGCTGTTTTGACTATAATCTCTCCCGTTTCCAATCTTCCCAATAACTTTAACGCCTTATTTCCTACCAAACACTATTTTTATTCTATGATTGTCACACACAATTTTATTATCCTCTAATTTCTGAACTCACCCACCCTCTCCAACATTTTTGACTCTCTCCCAAACTGCATCCTCAGCTCTAGAGAGGTTTGTTTACAGTAATTCTCACAAGGTCAGTTTGTTCCTTCTCAAGACAGTCCTAACTTCATGTTTCCTGTTGTGCTTCATTCTGGGAGATGGAGGATGGATACTCAGTATCCCCCTGCTGGGGCTCAGAAACTGATACCCCAAATATGGCGCTTCGCTATGCTGGACTGAAGAAGCCTCAAGGTCTCTCTGAATGCTCCCGCCCCCTGCCTCTCCATCTCTCTCTCAGTCCCTTGTCTCTCTCCTAGAGCAGGATGAAGTTGTTCTCAAAGTTCTTGATCTGCCTCAAGTCTGGACCCACCAAAGAAGAAAACAATTACTTCTGGTCCCTTACCTAAGTTTTCACTGACTGAACTCCTATCACAGGAAGACTGAAGTCTGTCCACACACTTGGATAGACTTTCGTCACAAACCATTGTCTGATCTGTGGGCCCCGACTTTCTCCCAGGCCATTGTATGTTCTCTAAGCCCACTGAATTCTCTAGAAAACATTTATTATCCTCCTAAAATTATGTACACCTCCCCTTTTTCCTTTCCCCTAAGAGTATAGAAGAATCTCTACTCCATTGCGTTGAGGGTTAATCTCTCTGACATGTATGTCTTTTTTCCTATTAACCTCCCTTTTGTCAGTTAATTTTCAGCAAATATTCAGAGGGTGAAGGAAAAGTTTTCCCTTTGCCCCTTCAGTTTTGATGCCGAGAGCAGGCTGCCAAAGCCTCTCTGCTCTTCTGGAAGCTGCAGTCAAGGGAGCCCGATGCCGGAAAGTCTGGCAAAATGGCAAGCATTTCTTACCAGGCAGGCTTCCGGTTTCTGTGGAATTCCATTGGGTAGACAGTAAAAACCTCAACTTGTCACCTTTTCCTCTCCAAACTGTTGATTTATGGCAGGAAAACATTTATATTACTAGTCCTAGGTGTAGTGACTCTCGTGTACTTTTGATATATTTATATTGTTCGATCCTTTTCCTTCCAAAAACAGTTCTTTCCTTTTTCTTTGTCTTCCTGTATCATTTTTTTTCATAAGAGGGGTATAATAGGGTAGAACATGGGTCTAAAACCCTGATAAACCCATTATTCAAACTAGCTCTGCAGACTGGTGAGTTTTGCAGTTTTCAGCAAACAATTGTCTATTTAGGAAAACTTTGCAATGGGTCCCCGAAATAAGAAACTGAATGAGGTTTTCCTCTCGCCTTATGTCCTTGAGAGCTTAACTTATGATGAAGTAGGAGCAGCCTCTCGTTCACCACGTGAGGAAACAGGGGAGAAAATGATCAGGTCACATCCAGTGGTCCACCTGAAAAAAGCCTGGGAACCCAAGACATGCCAAATTTTAAGCAGCACACTCTGTTCTGAACATGGCAAGCTCTGAGGGGCGGTTGTCTTAATAAGTCCTATCTATAAAGGGCTTTTATCATTTCAACTCTTGTTGCCTGGTTAGTCCTAGAAAAATCCAATCACAAGAGGGTCTTCCCAGTGTCACAGATTAACAGGTCTCATACTGGCAGTACTCTACAAATTTGTGGGATACTGGAGGATGCACAGACACCCATCCTTAACTGTCTGAGGCAGCAAGAGTCTTTTGCTTTCTTAGCCTATTCCCGGCAGGAAAATTTTTTTGGCATCACTGGGACTGCCTCTTCTATGCCCTCTCCAAAACACTTCTTGCTTGTATGGTAAAACTTACTCTAAACCTGGAAAATTACCTCCTGGGCTTTCCATGAAGAGGCTTATTGGATTGAGTCACTATTGGAACAAGGGCACCCTTGGAAATTCTAATTATCAGGGGCCAAGAGATGAATCCTTTAAATTAGAAAGATCTCTAAATTAAAAAATCAAAGATGTGTAGAGAGCTCTCTCAACAATTACCTCATTTATATTTATGGAAGGAGCAAATTAAAAGAAAGACACATGTTGATGTCATGGCTAGCCTTAGAAATTAGCCTACTGACTAAATTAAAGAGCAAAAAATCTGACCTGAAGCAAAGTTAAAATCCTTTAAATGCTCAAATGCTGGCTTTGGATCCTCTGTGGGATTTACTACAAAGGCACTTGATCCTATAGCCCAGTGATTAGGATTCTTTGCTTTTACTACCATGACCTGGGTTCAATACCCAGTCAGGGAATCAATCCCTTGGAGGTGTAACTCCTTTAACTCAAAAGAAGAATTGCTTTGATATTTGTGTGGCTCTTGACTTTTTGGAGTACCCATTTGTTATTGATCCTTTCACCTTCCACGGACAGCTTTTGATTTCCTGTCTCACTGACTGTCTCTTTTAATCTTCTACAGATAGGGCACACTAGAAGGTCAGCTTCTGTGTGCAGTCAGCTGGGAAGAATGTGGCCTGGAAAATATGGCCAGACAAAAATGTGGGTTGTGCCCACTGGTGGTGAGTGAAACTTTCCTTTCTCTGAGCTGCCTTTGGGATGGCTCTGGATCTTGAGGGAAATGCCTTGCATCTCTTTGGAGATATCTTACATGTTCTTAATTTAGTTGGTTCTGAGTCATTCTGAAGGTTCAAAAGTCAGGGATACTGTCTGTTTGTCCTAGTGAAAGCCTGGTAATAAGAGATTTGTATAAAAAGCTTTTTTAAGAGCTCCACAATCAGAAATCAGCTTAATTAAAAGCTGATATTCAGGCTGTAATTTTTTTTTTGTACAAAAGGTCTTTCTGCTTTTTCTCTTTTGGATCCTGTTACTCCTCTGGGAATTTTTTTTCAGGTGAATGAAACCCTCTTTTAATTATACGTTTGGTCCTTCTGTTCACATCCTTTCCTGTTGGCATGATTTGTGCTGAGAAAAAAAAGGTAAGATTTCATTGGCCTTTTGGAAAACTTAAAATCTCTCCAAACTGGTTCCGCCTAAGACCTATTCTTCCATTTCCTTCCACTTCTCCTCCTCCTTTCTTTTTGCCATCTTTGATATCACATGGAGGAATCGAAAAGGGACCTCTAGAGACTCTGATTCCTCTTGAGGAACACAGTCAAGGTACCAACGACCACTTTTGGGTCTCGTGTTTTTCTCATGGACACCCAAGGGTCATGAGTGGTTTCTCTCAGGTCTCAAACCTCTATTCTCTTTTGCATTGAGTTCCCTGATCTCTTGGGCTTTTGAAGGTACCAGGAATTACTTTGTGCTGTGAGACAGCACTCTCCTTTGGATGTGCAATGGCTGACAAATCACCGGCAAGTGCTGTGGTTTTGGAGGCAGCTGACAGCAGTTACAGTAATGGTAATTACTGCAGGGGGGCTACTGGTTTCTTTGTATGTCTAGATTTAAAAGGTGCTGTTTGGATACTTGGAGGCTGTGGGAACACTTGGTATTAAGAGATTAGACTCCCATGGGGGATGGGTTGATCACAGAGTGGGCTGATTAAGGTTGCATTGACCTTGCAGCAAGGTGCACTGTGGAAGTCCTCCATCGCCCCGCCCCATTACATATCCCTCTTGGGCTTTTGCCTCAGCCCTGGACAAAGGAGTCAGTGTACATAGTCAGTGTACACTCTTCAGTCTGTACATAGGAGTCATTGTAAAAATTGATCCTTAATTTCTGGAGATCTAGGTGCTCTGCCTTCCAGCTGCACCTGCTTTTCACATATGTAAGTATTAGTTCCAGAAAAATGCAAGTGTTTTGCTGGCCCTATTCCCTGATGAACTCCACCCTAAGATTAGTGGTCCAGTTGAAAAATGAAGAGTAAATTGGAAGCTACCTATGTAAATAAAATTAATCTCCTTATAGAATCTCATGGTGAATTACCAAGATTTCATGTTACCTTAGCATCCACTTTTTAATCTTTCTCTAGCACACCAAAACCCCTTATGAATGATTCTAGACAAGAGATTCTCAAGGGCGGGAACTAGTGCCCATCATTAATGCAGCACTTGGAGGCCAAGGGAAGCACTGCATCTGTACTTCCTCCAGGCAGTAACTTCGGATATATTATACCAGTATTTACAAGCTCAGATGTGCATACAGATTAGCTGTAGAACTTGTTAAAATGCAGATTCTGATTCCTTAGATCTTAGATGAGGCCTGAAAGTCAATGCTTCTGGTCCACAGATGACACACTTAAACACAAGACATTAGGGCATATGTGGTGCAAGGCAAATGAAAACAGCAAATTAAAAGAACCAAAAGGGAACTGCTAAAGTCAGACATAACATAAAGACTACTAAAAATTCAAAATAAACGCAACAGAGGCCCAAGGGACCACCAACACAGCTTTGCATCAATAGCTTTATTTCATTACAATTTTTATGTATTTGGTCAGGATAATTTGCCTTTGCAAGATCACTGGAATACAACAGGAAAATGAGAGTCACCCCCATTCTTCTACATGACAAAAATAGCAGTAAAATGGAGAAGATGAGCTGATTGATTGTGTTCCAGAATAAGTCAGTTCCAAACAGCATCATCTAATACCATTCCCAGCTGCCCAAGACAACAATTTATGAACATAGCACTTCAGCCATTGCTCCTGTCTGGTTCTGAATTAGATGCAGAGAGTGCTAAAATGGAAAATACTCTGGTCACCCTACCACCTACAAGAGAACAAATGGAAATGCTTTCTGTTCCATAGTTCATTAAGAACTGAAGCTCCAGGTTGTGTTCCCTGGTTTTGGCTGAATTGGTCCTTTTTCTTTTTTTCAACATGACACCCCCACTGTGCTTAGTCATATTTCCTTGTGCAAAATCAAGTAATTCTTATGTTGTAGATAAAATTGTTCTCCAAAAATCTTGCCTCTTTTTGACTTGTCGCTTTTGCTTGCACTATTCTCTGTATATAAAATACTCATTACCGCCACCACTATCTCACTTCACGTGTCCAAACACCCTAGCATTCCATGTCTGGGTTCAAGTGGAGTCTAGGAAGATACAATTCTTTAAAGCCACCATAAATCTCATCATAGAAATAATTCCTCCCACTTTTGAACACTTGTAACCTTTGTTATATATATTACTGATCAGGGGATTTTTATTTTCAGCCTTTTATTATTATATGCTCATGCCTTATCTTTCCAACTAGATGGACCATTGCGTAAGGGCAAGAATCAGAGTTTGTATTTACTTCTTGGTATCCCCTGTGGTACCTGTTCATTGCAGAATCACTATCAATAAGTGCTATTTACTGTCTAATTACATAGCGCATGGACTGAGTGCCTTGTGAAATCTTTTCTCCAAAATTTAAGTCTTCTTCTCTGTCCCAGCTGGAAGTCCAGCTGCCTGTAATGTCACTCCATATTCTTCACTAATTTTCACTCATTCTTCAAGCCTTGCTTCCATTCTCATCTCTCCAAAGCCTTCCCAGCCCATCCCAGCCATCACTTTGCTTCCAATTCCTTACTCCATTTAAAGCTCACTGTCTGCATAATTTCTCTGGCATGTAAAACACACTGCCTTACAGTTTGCCCAACTTTTCCTTCATCTTACATCTTACCAGCATCACTCAGTGCTATCACAGTACCCACAGAATGATGGATATTGTCCAGGGATAACCCAAAAATGCAATACTGAAAAAGCAGAAACTCTGGCTAGGCAATTTTGATACTCCAGTGAGTAGCAAGAAGTAGTGTTTCTTTCATTTTCCAGCTAATCTTCTATTGGTGGGTGTCTTAGTTCCTAAAATGAGGGCTAAAAATATAAAAGTTGGGGTTTTTCAGTCATCAAATGAAGGAAAGCTGTAAAGTGAGGCTGGAAATATTAGTCTTACTGTAGTCTTCTCTGGTCAACATTCTTAGTTTATGAATGTTAATTTTTCTGCTTGTAAGTAATATTACATAGTAACTTCTCAATTTATTCTAGGAAGATGAGGCATTTCTCTTTTAAAACAAACCTATCCAATTCTAGGGGAAAGGGGCCAAAATCAGGGCTTCTCCTCATAATAGGATTAGACTCTGGGGAGATTTAAGAATAAATTCTGCGTTTGGGAGGGATGCTGAGAATTAGGCACCAGAGGCTGGACTAGAGTAAGCAGACTTTTAAAATGTCTTCCAGTGATCCCCACCTCCTGGTATCAATGCCCTTGTATAATCGCCTCCTCTTGAATGTGGGATGGACCTGGTCTACTTCTTGTAATGAATAGAATACTAGCAAAAGTAAAGTCAGTTCCAAGGTTAGATTATAAAAGACTGTGACTCTTCTGCTCTCTCACTTGCTCAGGTTGATGAAGTCAGCTGTCATGTTTTAAGTTTCCCTATGCAGAGGCCTACATGGCAAGGAACTGAGGGAAGCTTCTCACCAAAGGCTGGAAACTGATTCCCTCTGTCCAACAACCTGTGAGGAATTCAGTTCTGCCAATGACCACATATGTGAGACTGGGAGTGGATCCTTCCCCAGTTGAGCCATGAGATAACTAGAGCCCCAGCTGGCCCTTTGACTACAACTTGTGAGAGGCTATGATGCAGAAGCTCCAGCTAAGCCACACCTGAATTCCTGACTTACAGAAATTGCAAGGTAATAAGTGTTATTTTAAGCCATTGAGCTTTGGAGTAATTTGCTATGCTGCAGAATATATCTAATATACCCATGAAGGAACCTTTCTTTTCATGCGCAGGAATTCAATAAGAAGCCTCTATTTTGCCATAACCTAATAATTTCACTTTAATCTTAAATAGTCTTACAAGTAAAATACATGATTTAGACACATTTTGAGGACGTTTTCCAGAACCCCTTCTGAACTGCACCGCAGGAAGGACCACAGCTCCCTCCCTGAACTCCCCGATTAAATAGTGTGAGGGAAGTCCATTTGCAGGATGACGAACGGTGCCTATGGTTTGACTTGAAAAGATAATTTTGATTTATTATGCTTTTAGACTAGAAATTTGGGATTGGTAAAAGAAAAAAACAGGGTCAATTATCTGTAGAAAGTAATGTGAAGAGATCATGATGTATGTATATGTATACATGTGTGGTGTAGTGTGTGTGAGACAGAGAAAAGAGAGAGAGAGAAAGAGAGAGAGAGGCTGTCAAACATCCATGTCCTTTCTAATGAGGAGACAATGAAATATAAATGTAAGCAAAAGAAACCAGCTGGTATACGTAGAGAGAAAAGAATGCAGCTGATAAGCAAAAACAAGCATATGGTCCAAGAGAGAGAAAGAGAGATGAAATAAACTGATAAACTCTCTTGGTTCCTGATGGCTATCCATAAGACTGGCTCTACAGTAGTTCCTGTCATTCATAATCTCACTTCTAAGCTTGCTTTACTCAGTCTCTGTTGTTTGTGACTTGTAGAACCCTGATCAGTATAGATGGCTGCCCACATACAACAATTCTCCTACTTCTTTGATAATTTAAATCTTCATTAAGATGTGCAAATAGTAAATAAATAAATTTAAATCCCCATTAAAATGCACATAAAACTAGTGACTTGAGTATCTAGAATTCAGACCCAATGTAGGCTCACGGTGTTAGGGATTGAGGATAAAGTATTTTGTTATTGAAAAGATCCTGGTTTAGGATCAAGGAATATTCCTAAATGGTCCAAGAAATTCTTTCTTGCCACTCACCCCTAGCTTCTCTAGTAAAGCCCTGAGGAAACTCTATGTAAAGAATAACAGCCAAATGGGAACCAAATATATTAATAGTTAGACAAAGGTTTGATATCACAACAGTTTTCTAGCACAAGTTGAATGAAAACACATAGTTTAGGCTGAAGGTCTAATAGAGATATTCTTCCCCAGAATATATGAATCATGGAATGAACTTATAGTAAATTGTTGGAAAGGAAGAAGAAAGGGAGAAGGATAAGTGGCCAGGCCCCCAAATAATCTGAGTTTTTTACCAAACTTCTTAGAGTGAAGATGAAGAAATGGTCCACTTGCTCAAGGAAGTAGGTGTGGCTTGGGTGTACTGTGGGAGCAAGCTGGTGGGCAGTCAGGAGAGAGTGGAATTAAGTAGCGGGGCACAGCACAATGATGGCCTTTTAAGGCCCCAAAGCTGACTGCTTTGGTTCAACTCCCAGCTCTGCCACTTAATTGATTTCAGGCAAATTACCCAACCCCTCTGAACCTCCTTTCCCTAATCTGAAAATGGAGCAAATAATAGAGTGTCATTAGGAATGTTGTGAGGCTTAAATGAGTTAATATATGTACAATTCTTAACGCAGTAATTGAGTAAATGCTTGTTAAATTCTAGCTGCTGTTAGAGGAGAGCACTTGAGTCACAGCTTGCACATTTTAATACAAAGAGACTCCCATTTACCAGCAAAATCGCACGAATCTTACCAATCATAAAGGAAGTTTTTCACTAAGAAGGGAGTTGAGAAAAACACAGACAGATATAGGCCTGGCAGGTGGGAGAGCCATGACCTCCATTAGCTAACACAGTGTGATGTTCTGAGCTCTGAAGGCATTGAATGGCAGGTGGAGTTAAGGTGAAGAAGAGGAAGTCAGAATACAGGATTCAATGGGAATTTTAAAATGTAGTATTTCCCTGTCCAGGACTGTGACTATCCTCAAAAAGTCACCAAGAAATCAGGGTCCCTTTATAGTAGGTGAACAGGAAAAGAGATTGCTGCAAACTCAGAGAAATGTTCTAAAGCATAAATAACATTTTAGGAATTTCAAGCAAATGTTGCCTCTAAAGAGAGTTTCCTTTATAAATAACAATTGTCCTTTCCAAGGCATCATTTCCATTGAAATAGCCTGCACATTAAAGAGAACACAATCTTCCCAAGTAAAAATACGCCTCTTCTCCCCACGTATCTCTTATTTGGGAGTGAGTGGGCAGCTCTGTTCTGAAAGAAAAACTAAAAAGGCAAACATACCCACTTCCCTTCTCAAACACCTTCTACCAAAACAGGCACAATTCCAATAGCCCCAAATTTACTACACTCTCCTGACTTGGTGCAGGTGTTAATCAAGAATTAGACAAAAGAAAAAAAAAAAAAAAAGAAACCCAACCACCCATTACACAAAATTTGGCATAGTGACATTGGCTATGATGAAATTTTTAAGTCAAGGAACCAACAGCTTACTTTAACATTGTCCCTTTAAATGGCCACGTTTCTTAATTATGCTTCACTAAACACAGTTTCAACCATGAGGTGTGTGTGTGTGTGTGTGTGTGTGTGTGTGTGTGTGTGTGTGTGTGTTTTCTTTCAGCTGGATCTACCTCTTCCTTTGAGAATCACAGCCTGGACTGCCATAGAGCCATCCTGCTATTGATTTTTTACAAGAATTTCGGGATGTGGTACGGTGCAGACCAGTCTTTCCTAATAAATTGACACTGGAACGTATTTGCTTTTATTTTGATTATTTGTCATGGGTTCCCAAATTGAGTTGGATTAAGAATCAGACCAAAAAGCCAGTCCCATAAAGTCCCAATCTAATCTATAAGGTAAACATTTTTAAATCACAAGAAATGTATTAGAAAGGAAGAAAACTACATTTTCCCAAACTCCTCTCAGGGAGGGTAATATGTGATTAGAAGGGATAACTTGATAATCTAGAAGCTGGTAGAGGGTAAATAATGAAATCCCCGAAGGGCAAACCTTTTCCAAGAGTAAGGTATGGGCAATTTAAAGGCTTTTTGTTATGCTGTGTAGGATACGAGCTAGGAGCGAGAGTTGCACTACTTCTGTGCACAGCAGCTGCTTAGAGCAGAAACTGAGCTTTTCTCACCCTTCCCCTATTTATCTTCAATATTGAATAAATATCTGAAGAAATTCCAAATTATTAACCTGCCCAAACACGTATGCCTCAACCTGTCCTGAAACTTCTCCATTGATCTCAAGTACTGCAGTAAAATCCAAAAATTCAGTTTAAATTTACTAATTTAAACATAAACGTGTGTGTGTCGTTTTTTTTTTTTTTTTTTTTCCAGCACTTTTGGTAAAGATGAGACCATCATGGAATTCAACAAACAGTATCTGTCCTCAGGTAAGTGGGCTGGAGAATGCATCAGCCTTTTAAACTTTAACAACTGAAAGACCTATTTGCCTCCAACACATCTGTTTAGTGAAGCATTTGGATTTCTCTTCAATCAACAGTAACAAGGTGACATCAGCAAGTTGGTAGAATAGGACTTCTGAGTGCTGTCCACATGTGAAACCACCTTCATAGAAGATAAGAAATCTAGGGTAGAGATCGCAGCACCTGGATGTAACCCAGGAATAAGGAAACATACATTGAAGAGGACATGAAGAACAGTTTCACATTAAACATGTCACCCCTCCCTCAGGCCTGAGCATAAGAACTTTCAACAAAATAGGTTAGAAGTAATATATTTTAACAAAGAAGGCTATACATGACATCTCTACAGCTGTCTTCATAGTCAGTACTAAAGGGCCAAAAGCCTTCCTCTAAGATCAGGAACAAAACAAGCATGACCATTTTCAGTAATCCTATTCTATGCAGTACTGCTCCAGACAGAACAATTAGGCAAGGAACAGAAATAAAAGGCATCCAAATTGGAGAGGAAGAACTAAAATTATCTTTGTTTGCACATGATGTGATATTACACATAGAAAATCCTAAAGACACCACCAAAAACTGTTCAAACTAATAAATGAATTCCATAAAGTTGCAGAATAGAAGATCAACATATAAAAATCAGTAGCATTAAAAAATCAAGCATTAAAACTTTGCAGCATTGAGTTATATCAGAATTTAGTATTGGAAAATACATGAGGCCCTATTGTTAGGGGCACATGCCCTTCAGTGACTACTTTATAAGATGTCAATTTATGTTTTACACTGGAAGTGAATCTGATCGTCATTAATTTTCAATACATTTGACCAAAGCAATCCAGTCAATTCAGTTAGAGTTGCCAAATGCTATAGAATGTGTAACACCTTATTTAACTGTTTTAAACTTGCCCAGTGAAACAGGTACTTCTATCACTGGATATTTCTCCAGGAATGTCCCATGAGAAAAACATGTTTCCTTATAATTCTTTAGCTACTGTTTTATCAGCCCTCTTGCATGGGAAAGCTTTTATGCAAACAGAAAACATGCATTGAGAATGATGAATGAAATCCCACCATAAATGTTTAAATGGCCTAACAGGTGGCAAAAAATGTGCCTTAAGTTTTTATTGTCTTCCCAGGAATATGGATTTGGCAAATCAAACATTGGTCATAAGCCATTTTAGCAATTTAGAAGAGTTACCATACCAATATGTATTTTTAATTTGGGTCACTTTACTCTTCCATGATGAGCTGTAGAATGCAGAGCTTTTAATAACAAGAGCTTTAAGGACTCAGGAAGAATAAGGCGGCCAGCCAGGTTCTCCATGAGTCCAGGCTCACCACTGAGCTTACGTCCTCTTAAACATCTCTTAAAATTTTTGTTTCTCCAATTTAGGTGCATAGAACTGATAACTGATGGGTTATCACAGGTAATTTGACTTGGACCATGGAGTTTATTCAACTGCATATCTGAACAATTTCAATACTGGCTGATTAAGTGTGAAAATCTGGTAAAGTATTTTCTCGCTATTCAACTAATTTTTGTTCTGCTTGGGTTAGCAGTATTATAAACCAACCAGTCTCTTCATTACAGTTCCAGGAATTCTTACCCAGTCCAAATGATATTATCCTGAAGTTATCAGAAATCTGTATCTAAGAGTGCTTGTGAGGGTCTTTTCCATCTGTTTCATGAACCTCCTTAAAGACTCAATATTCTAGGATTTTGCATGCTTGTGAAGTTTTCAGAAACTGCATCAGAATTAAGGAATTTACTGTGGAAATGACTTAAAAAAGTCATAGTTAAAGACACAATTGTTAAGGAAATTTGGTTATTTCTGCAGCCTACAATTTACCATAGTAGCCATTATGTTATTATGTTGGTTGCTATATCAGTCGTAATTATGACTGACAAAATACCCAGACATATTAGAATGTTAGAAATCCCATACAATTTTGGAACCTATATTAATAACATATTCATTAAAATATAACTCGAAGGTTAGACATCATTTCTTATTTGACAATGCTTCCTATATAATTTAACATACCAAATAATCCTGTTTATCTCTCTTTTGTATGCTTCAGGCACCCTCTGTAGCATCCCACAGTTAAAAGCCAAAAAGTACTTTATTTTGAAGCAAAATTTTGATTTTGGGATGCCTATCAAATATGTCAAAGGTTTAAAACACTTGACCAAAATAGGATTACAGGTTACCATAAAATAATAGTCATTCATTTAGCCGAAGGAGAGATGTTGGTCAAAGGATAAAAAGTATTCATTAGACTAGAGGAATAATTTCTGGCAATCTATTGTATATCACTGTGACTATGGCTAATAGTAAGATATTGTAAACTGGAAAATTGCTCAGAGAATAGATATTAAATGGTCACCACAAAAAAAAGGTAAGTTGAGGTGATGGATATGTTAACTGGCTTGGTTTAATCGTTTCACAGTGTATAAATATATCAAATCATCACATTGTGTGCCGTAAATAAATTCAATTTTCATTCATCAATTATGCTTTCATAATGCTGAGATGATAAAAAACAAAAACAAAAATTTTTACTCCCACACACACACACAAATCAATAGCATGGAATGTCAACTTTTCAAGCAGACACCCTTCAGAGAACTCAGCCATGCATGCATTAATGTTTAGCCAGCTCTTGCTAAAGCTCACTGGAGACATCTGATATTTGAGAGAGGCATCAGCAGATCTGTTGACCACCTATTTCTAAATGCTAACCTTTTCATTTGTTGTCAAAATATCACAAAGCAATACACTGGACCACATTTTTTCAAACTCCTGCAGAAATGTCTTTAATGTGTTAAAGTTTAATACTTTTCTCTTACTCTCTTATTCCCTTTGTCCCTCTAAGGCTCATGGCAATAAAAGTTTTTTTTTTCCTAAGGATAACATCCACTTCAGCTGCATTTTCTTTTTCCCCAGCCTTTAGTTTCTTCATTATAATTAATCCCATGTTAATGCTTCTCTATCTTCCACAAACTGGACCTGAGAACATTACCTGATACGTTACTCAATGGCCTTTATAGATAGCTATTCATTCTAGATTCATCCCTGCATTCAATTACAAAAATAACTGTCTATCAATAAAATTATTTTATTTCAAAAGATGAAAACTATGTAATTCATTTAATTTTTGTCTTACCTATCAGGGCAATGAGAGCTAACTTCAGTGCATATTTTCTAAAATGACTCATTTCATATTGTGCTGAGAAAGATCATAGATTGGTGCCACTCCAAGCTCCACGAGACTTCCGCATTGCCTGGCAACCCAACTATTTCCCTAATTTGCTCTCCCCAGTTCATAAAACTTGAATCAATTTCTTCAATCTGCTTAGCTCAACATCATCTACCTGCTTGCCATAAGCCAAAATTAAAATCCTAAGCCCCCCACCCCCAACCAACTGAATATATTCCCTCTGGGCCAAGGGAACCCCAGAGAAACCTGAAAAACTGAATTCCCAGCCATTGTCAGAGGCGTGTGAACCAGCACAACTCCATCTTGAATAGGAGCTGGGTAAAAAGAGGCTGAGACCTACTAGGCTGCATGCCCAGAAAGTTAAGGCATTCTAAGTCACAGGATGAGATAGGACGTCGGCACAAGACACAAGTCATAAAGACCTTGCTGATAAAACAGGTTGCAGTCAAGAAGCCAGCCAAAACCCACCAAAACCAAGATGGCCACGGGAGTGATCTCTGGTTGTCCTTACTTGCTACACTCCCACTGTTATGGGCGGGTCTTTGTTCTTAGAGCTCCCAAGATGGGGCAGGCAGCTCCCAAGATGGCGGCAAACCTTTTGTTCTCTGACCTGGGGTTCTTGGCCTCATGGATTCTAAGGCATGGAACCTCGGGCCATGCTGTGAGTGTTATAGCTCTATTAGAAGCTGTGGGTCACGGAAGAGAACCGTGGAACCCAGCGACTAGTGTTCAGCTCGATTAGGACGAACCTGGGCACTTAGCCGTGCAGGAACAATGGCGAGGCTTTAGCCCGATCAGGAGTGGCAATGGGCGCCTCAATGGATCAGCAGTGCAGTGGACACCCTGCTGGATCCTGAGGGGTGGAAGTCAACGGTGGGCTGGGACAGCAGCCAACAGCAGCGGTGGACTGTGAGCAAAAACTCAGGTCGAGTCGTAACAAACACGGACCAGAAGAGCGTGCAGTCGCAAGATTTAATAGAGTGAAAACAGAGCTCCCATACAATGGGATGGGACCCGAAGGGGGTTGCCCCCACCAGCCTGAGCACCTTGGGTTTATATCCTGATTATTGTCCTTCCTCCTGTGCTCTCAGGCATCTATGATTTGACTATTTCATTACCTCCTGCTTTTAGCCTAATTTGTATTTTTGTGAGCCCTCTTTACTGCTTGATTGGTCGGGTGTGAGCTGAGTTACAAGTCCTGTGTTTAAAGGTAGGTGTAGTCACCTTTCCCAGCTAGGCTTAGGAATTCTTAGCCTAGGCAATCCAGCTAGTCCTGTGTCTCACCACCAGCACCATGACAGTTTACAAATGCCATGGCAATGTCAGGAAGTTACCCTATTTGGTCTAAAAAGGGGGGGCATGAATAATCCACCCCTTGTTTAGCATATCATCAAGAAATAACCATAAAAATGAGGAACCAGCAGTCCTTAGGACTGCTCTGTCTATGGCGTAGCCCTTCTTTTATTCCTTTACTTTCATAATAAACTTGCTTTTGCTTTGCACTGTGAACTTGCCCCAAATTCTTTCTTGCGTGAGATCCAAGAACCCTCTCTTGGGGTCTGAATCGCGACCCCATTCCAGTAAAATATTCAGTCAGTAAGACAATGTTTTTTAGTAGTATTCAAACATGCTCGTGTCTCCCATCCTAAAGTGTCTTACATTCTAGAAAGTAGACTAAATATCATCTTTACCACTTCCGTCCGTATCACCAAAGACAATCATGTTGTAAGAGTCCTTTCCATTCATCTCTACTTCCCGACATTCTGTTAACTGCTCAAACTAGCCCAATATGCTTTCTACTCTTACTACTCCACTGAAATAGTTTAAGTCAAAGATGGATAAATCTGTCTTTAAATCCAGTGGGTATGTTTTCAGTTCTTATCTCACTTGATTGCTTTAGAGCATTTGACATCTTTATTCACACATCTTGAAACCCTCTCCCTCTTCTATGCTCCTCTGAATGTCAGAGGTCAGCTAGCTCCCCTGGATCCACTCTCCACCCATCTCTACCCTGCTGTTGGCTCAGGAAGGCATGCTGTATGGACCTCATTAACAAGTTTCCTTGCCTTCTGCTTCCAGTTAGATTCAGTCAATGAGGAGTATAGCAAAAGATTAGAAGGAAGGAGAGCAAGGTTGTATGTGTTCTGCTGACTCTTGTAAAGACAAATAAAAACTAAAAAGGGGCTTATTTCTTCCTGATGAATATAAGGGAAGAGACCTCTTCTTCCCTTTCCTTGGAGTATTTACTTTAGAAAACATGTTCTTTATGTGTCTCTTTGAAATGTGTGCACATCTTTTTAGAAGCTAAATAAGCTGCTTGCCGGCTTTATGACTCAGGAACATCTTTTTCAAGGACCTGGGAGCCATCTCTTTGAAAAGTAAACATCAAGAAAAATATCACCCCTATTTTCCGCTTTCAGTGACAGGGAGGAGCTGAACTTCAGTGATTGCTTTGTTCCAAGTTGCAAAAGATCTATCTTTTCTCATAAAGATATGAAGAATCTGTTGTTCCTCTGGATAAATCCAATTAGTGAACAAGATGGTCACCTTGGTTATCAGGTGAATCTAAGATGAACTATGCATGATAAATGGTGCTCTCAAGCCCTGTTACTGAAGGACCAGTTGTTTCTCTTGAAAACATGTAATAGGTTGCATGTTCTTGGACTTATAAAAGGATGAGATTTCTACCTTTGTAATTTATTATCTGAGATGTATACTGTGTTCTGGCTCAATGCTTATTCAACAATAAAACTGTTTTCTTTTTCTGTTACCCTCCAGAGAGGTTTTCTATGTTGGAAGAAAATTTTGTTTTCAATACTGTTTCCCTAATACTCTTTGCAGAGCTATTCAACTCTGGCTGAATCCCTCCACCTGGAAGCCCACTCCTCTCAGCCTTTGTTCCATGACAACTCTCTTCTTCTGGGTTCCTGTATCCTCTTCTTCCTTTACTCCCTATGAGCCAAGGAGTAGTAACAGTTCCTGTTAATATCCCTGGGCTAATGCACTATCCCTTGTGGCTGCCTTTCATGTTGCCTACACTTTGTACAGAGTCCCTTTATTAAATCCTCCTCGAATGAGCCTAATTTGAATGTACATTGCAGATTTGGCTCTCTGGAAGCAGATGCTGAGAAAGAGTTTAGTGTGTAGGATATTTTTAAGCATTCACACCTGTAGAAGGGATGAGGCAGAAGTAGGATTGAAGAGAAGGAATGTAAAGCTTTGCTGCTGGTCTTAAAAAGCCTTGGACAGTTGCAGAGGGGCATATGTGACCCATCAGAATTGTCTTGCTGTGAAACTAAATGTCTGGACTTTTCTACACCTGCTATAGTGGGTCACTGGCCCAAGAAGTGCTCTTGAATGATGAGACTCTTCGCACCCACAGTGGCGGGTGCCTGTAATCCCAGCTACTTGGGAGGCTGAGGCAGGAGAATCACTTGAACCCAGGAGGCAGAGGTTGCAGTGATCACGCCACTGCATTCCAGCCCGGGTGACAGAGTGAGACTCTGTCTCAAACAAAAAAAAAAAAAAAAAGAAAGAAGAAAACAAAGAAAATAAAGGCTACCAGCACAAACTCCAGCCCCCACTGCAGCTGATCTTGGGGCTAGGTCACCTCCTGGTGATGCTGATCCTTTCCCCTCTTCACTATGCATTCTATAGTCCCTTCCTCTATAGCGATCTCCTCTGCTGGTCAGAGTGTCTTACTTAATAGCATGATCCAGTTTATCATCCCAAAGCGATCTAAGCCCTTATCACCACGCCCTTTTCAGAATTCCCTGAATCTACTTGTCTACTGACCATCACAGCTGGGCACGGGAATATGAAGAAAGACGCAGTTGGAGGATTTGGGTGCCACATATATCCCTGCCTGCCCCATTGTTAAACAGCAGGCCTACCTCTTTCTTAGGATGAACCTCAAAAATAAAGAATACATGTGGTTTACTGATACTTTTTGTAGTTCAATTAATTACTTGGCAGTTGACAATTTAGAAAGGATCATGTTTGAATTAGCCTTTTTGTTTTGTTTTTTGACACGGAGTCTTGCTCTGTTGCCCAGGTTGGAGTACAGTGGTGTGATCTCAGCTCACTGCAACCTCTGCCCCTCGGGTTCAAGCAGTTCTCCTGCCTCAGCTTCCCAAGTAACTGGGACTACAGGCGCATACCACCACACCTGGCTAATTTTTGTATTTTTAGTAGAGACGGGGTTTCACCACGTTGGCCAAGCTGGTCTCGAACTCCTGACCTCAGGCGATCCACCTGCCTTGGCATCCCAAAGTGCTTGGAACACAGGCGTGAGTGACTGTGTGCAGCCTTCAATCCATTTTGATTTTTTAAAAATTAGATCTCAGGCAGCATGACATTGAGAAAGCCCCTGTTATCGACGGCTTTTATGAGCTTCCTGTCCTCATGGATTTCACAGAATGAAAAGCTTTTGGGAATATAAGAGTTTTCCCAGCTGTGTTTGCTTACCCAATGGCAGGACAACAGTTTTTTTTTCGGAGACTCTCTACTTAGTAGCCTAAGGGAAGGATTTAACCAATCAAGTTTGTTCAGCAATTTTCTTGCATGGTATTATTTTAATGTTGACTAATACATAATAACATTGTTGCCGTATGGCTAACAAAAATAACACAATACTAAGGCTACAAAATTAATTTCTGTCTTGGGATCTAGTAATACCCCTAAGGTCATTTTTTTATATCATCAATCTTCCATAAATATTTTCATTGCTCCTCTCAGCTTGTGTGAGTCCATGAACATCCAATTCACCTCTAACAAGTTTAAACTTCAATATCTAACTGTCCAGAAATCCCTCCTTCTTCAAGATCTCCAGAGTTTGACAGTGTTCCTGGCCTATCAGGCTAGCCTGATAAGCCCTAGTTCACATACTAGGCCAAATTTCTAGGAGAACTTTGAGGCAGAACGTCCATATATGAAGCATAATTCCTGTTCTTTAAAAGTGGGCAATTCTTCATTAAGAGCAACCTTTAATGTGACATTTCTGTCATGGTCTTGATTATAAATTTGGTTTATCAAATTACAGTCATGTGTCACTTAATGATGGGGATACATTCTGAGAAGTGTATCATAAGGCAATTTTGTCACTGTGCAAACATCGTAGTCTACTTACACAAACCTAGATGATATAGGCTACTACACACCTAGGCTAGATGAGACAGCCTATTGCTCCTAGGCTACAAACCTGTACAGCACATTACTGTACTGAATACTGTAGGCTATTGTAACACAATGGTAAGTATACATCTAAACAGAGAAAAAGTACAGTAATAATACAGAATTATAATCTTACGGGACCACTGTCACATATATGGTCCACCACATACAGCACATGACTGTATGTCCTAGTGATGAATAAAGATTCCTATTCAATCTTTGCAAATACTTACATGCCATTGAATTCAAGAGATTTTGTAAAGGCATCTTGTACAATGTTTTATTATAAGCAGTTTTGCAGATATGGACAATCCAAATAAATCATATATACCACAAAATCATCCTATTTTACACCAGTGGTACTATCACCAAAAGGCTTGTTTACCTATGAATAGTAGCTGAATAAGTAAAATTTAGCTTCATGGCAGTCAACAAGAAGTAGTAGTAATTTTTCAAAGCCTTATCCATTTTAAAATCATTGTTCTGAATTTCATTACTAGAGTCATCATTGTTCAATGATTTCCTTATAACCTATATTAGATTTATTATAGAATATTTTCTCTGAATTCTGAGCATTCAGTTGAAATAAGATACCAAATAGTTCCATTCCAGTTTGCATAAGTATAGCTTGCTAAATTGAAGGTTGGGATCATTAAGAAGAAAGGCGAAGGGTTTCTTTGCCTATCAGGAAACAGAATTATGTTTTTAAAATAAATAACTACAATTCTTGTACTCTTGTTCCACTGACCTTAGAACGCAGTCGACTTTGCTTATTCAACTGCCTTGGGAGACTAAAGCAGTTCTGAGTATCTTGTCCCACATGTACTTTAATGCAGTTTGCCAAGTGTCCATTCACGGTGTCAATCATTTTAGCTAACACTTGAAAGGCTGTGCCCATAAGTCTATTTCCTACAGTGTCAAAACTCAAGAATATCTGCTCCAGTCCTTTCATTAAGCATCTGAGATTATTCTTCTTTTGCTTTCTTCTAGAAGTTTCCATTTCTATCACATAGCTTATAGCTGACACCTTTGAGTAGGTGTGAGGGAAGATTAGAAATCTGTTCTTGACAAGACTGAAACTGGTTTTAGTTATGACTTTTATTAGACGACTAACCAACAACATCAAACAGAAGAAAGTAGGCTACTCTAATAGGTTATCGTTTTCACAAGAAAGTAGTTTAAGTGACTCAAATAGAGGCTAAAGCTTTCTTTTCAGCTAATGCACATCACAAAGCCCCTGAAGGCCACGTAACTCCCAGAGTCAAACAGGATTGGAATTTTATAGGGTGAAGAGAAAGGAGAAGTTAAGTGTCCTTGTAGTTTGGTTCAGGTTTTTGTCTCTAATTGCTATGAAACTTGTAGTTGGAATAGCTGGAGAATGTTCTAGTTTTTCATGCCTGTTATATTGGCAGAGTCTCATCCCAATAGCTATTAGAACAGCATTTTTCAAGAGCTGTTTTTTCAAAGTCTTGTGGCTTGTTGATGTTGCAGGCAGAATTCTAAAATGGTCCATGAGAATCCCACCCATAGGGGTGCACAGTCCTCTTTGAGGGTGGGTGAGATGATGAATATGGTAGATGTCACTCCTGTGACTAGGTTATGTGATGTGGCAAAGGTGAAGGGATTTTGAAAATGTAATGAAAGCTCTTCATCTACTCCCTTTAATTTAATCAAAAGGAAATCATTCTGGGTGGGCTGGCCTAATCACATAAGCCCTTCAAAAGAGACTCAAAGCAGGGGTGATTGTCCTGGGGACTTAAAAAGCAAGCTGATGTGTTGTGAAGGAACAATGGAGGTAGCCATGTGGCAAGGATCTGAGCATGGCTTCTATGAGTTGTGAGCAGAACTCAGATGGCAGCTAGCCAGAAAATGGGGACCTCAAAGACATGGCCTCAAGCAACTGAATTCTGCCAATAACCATCATGAGCTTGCAAGTACAATCTCCCAGCCAAGCCTTCATCTGGCACTGCAGCCTCTCTGGCATTTTAACTGTAGCCTCGTGAAACGCTAAGCAGATGACTCACTGAAGCTGTATCTTCCCTCCTGGCCCAGGGACTGTGAGATAATAAGTGGGTGCTATTTTAAGATGTTGAATTTGTAGTAATTTGTTATGGAGTAATAGAGAACTAATGCACTTAGTAAATCAAGATTCAAGGTGGAAGAAAGAAACGGGGAGCAATAAAGAGGTAAAGGAGGTAAACATCAAAGGGGAGGGTAACTGGAGACCTCTCGTCATCACGGTTCTAATCCTTTGACGTAACTATTTCATAAGAATTTGATCCAATATTACCCTGAGGGCAATAACTTACTTGGATTAGTGAGGGCATTGACAAATTCCTGGAATGCTCTAATCCAGGGATATCCTATCTTTTGGCTTCCCTGGGCCACGTGGAAAAAGAAGGATTCTCTTGGGCCACACATAAAATACATGAAACACTAGCGATAGCCAATGACAAAAAACAAACAAACAAAAAAAAGAAACAACTCAATGTTTTAAGAAGCTTTACGAATTTGTGTTGGGCCACATTCAAAGCAATCCTGGGTCACATGCAGCTCATGGGCCTCAGGATGAACAAGCTTGCTCTAATTTATCTGTAAAGTATTTGTTATGATTGCCCCTAGGTGACAAAGGTATTTGAAATCTGGAAACTAATATTCTTGGAAAGCAACTTTTTGGCAGTCATTCTGTATTTCCCCACAAAAAATGATGATGCATCTACTGTTCTAAAAGGTTAAAAGAGCTGAATTATATCCTTATTAACAATATTTAGGTATGTAATATTATCCAAGAATAGGTTGAGTTTTTCTGTTGGATTAAATGCATTCCCACTCTACAGGCTTGATATCCAGGTAATTTAAACACTACTGTCAGAGCTTATTAAAAACATGGAACATAATAGACACACCTATTTATTTGTGGCATCTCTCCTAGATTTTAAGTACCAAACCATCAAGACTTACAAGGTGACACTATAAACCTTTGGTCCTATCCAAAAGTCATCTGGAAAACATTTGTATAAAAGACACTTTAACATTATTCTAAGTTTGGTAACTGATCTCAGAGCAGGTAAATGTCTAAAAAATTTTCAGATAAGAATAAAAAAGGATAAGAAACAGCTATGGCCTTGGATGTGTTATTAACCAGAATCACAATACCTTATAAAAATTACAATAAAATATTTTCAAAAGCACCTATTAGAAATTTCACCTTCTCCAGAAGCTAATAATGTTTGTGTGTTTATCATTGTCTACATTATTTTTTGAAATTCACAAAACTATGAAAGATAGTTCCTTTTGGGAGTATATAGTTGAGTCACTTGAGGAAAGTAACTGCTTTTGTCAGGATATATGGAAAGTAAATAATAACTTTTCATTGTGTCACTTGAAAATACATCATTTTTCCCTTGAACTACTGTTTCTTATCTCTAACATTCATGAACTCCTTGTTTTAATAATTTTAAAGTGTATTTATACATGTGTTTGAGTCCACTATGTAGTGTGTCGGTGCAGTAGGTAGAGCTTGGCATTCCCAGCCAATAGTGAAGGGGGATCTTGGGAACACAGGTTTAGAGGGAGATGACCTAAGATCAAAGCAGCATACAATTCTAAGCCATCTTATGAAGCACGACTTCCCTCAAGAGCCAGTCCAGAGTAGACTTTATACAATTTAAAATTGCGTTAAGTAACTTCTACTTCTGTCCAAGGTGCAGTAATAGGATTTGCCTTCCCACCCGAAAAGATACAAAATTGACCAAAAAAATGAAGCATAGTTTTTAGGACATTGGCTATCAGACAACAAAGATGAGAGATCCATGAGAGGCATTTTAAAAATTAGGTGGTATCTACTATTGCCTTGCTTAATGCCTTGAAAGAGATTCCAGTGTGAAATGCAGGAATGGGAATCCCATATGAAAACCAGCGGACTCTGTGAGTTTAGAATACAAGGTGGAGAGTGTGGGGAGATCAGAGTGGCCCAAGTTTTCAGGGCAACGTACTAGAGAGATCTGCAAGAGGGTTGCCTTCAACTATTCAGCTGAGTACTTATCAGTGGACATATGTGAGGAAAATATCTAAGGCTGAGGAAAACACAACCCAAAAGGATTAGGAGAAACAATACTAATACCTCACACAGGCTGAGAGTAAAGCCTATTTCCAACAGGCAGGCTGGAAAAAGGAAACTTGTATATCCAGCACCTTCCACAGTTTCTTTGTGTGTGTTAAGAGCACCTAAAATGTGTTCAACAACACAGCGGGATAGGAGGTCCTAGGCTTTACTACTTTATTAGTCCATTCTCACACTGCTATAAAGAACTACCTGAGACTGGGTCACTTATAAGGAAAAGAGATTTAATTGGCTCATAGTTCTGCAGGCTATACAGGCTTCTGCTTCCGGGGAGGCCTCAGGACACTTACGATTGTGGCGGAAGGTAAAGAGGAAGCGGGGACATCGTCACATGGCTGACAGGAAAGAGAGAGTGCAAAGGGGGAGGTGCTACACATCTTCAAACAACCAGATCTAGTGAGAACTCAATCATGAGAACAGCAAGGGGGAAGTCGACACCCATGATTCAATCACTTCCCACCAGGCCCCTCCTCCAACACTGGGGATTACAATTAAACATGGGATTTGGGTGGGGACACAGAGGTAAACCATGTCAACTACCCTCCACAGAAAGTTCAACTAGCAACTAACCACAGACAAGAACACGTTAGTGAAAATCCCAAAGTATGGGAATAGGCTTGAGACACCTATGTAGATGACAAAACCTGAGTAAAGGTAGCATTGAAACCACCTAACCCCTCCCCACGCCCTAAGTCAGCATAACGCTACACAGAGATGATTCCGCAGGGCCCTTGGTTTCTGTAGTGGAAACAGAGAACTGCAGATGGACATCAGCTTCCCTCACATTCTGAGACATTTCCCAGGAAGCCCACTTTGGGCTCAGCTCATGGGGAATTCAGGGGGTAATGGCATGGCTATTCCACCTGAGGTAAAGTAGAAACAAAGCAAGGAGGCAGACCCTGCAGCAACCAAAATGCGGATATTGGTGGTAGCTCTATCACCCTGCCAGCCATGGTGCCAAGTCAGAGGCATCAGCAAACAGCACAGCTCACCTGCAAAGTCAAACTGAGCTCTCTCACCCAGAAGTGGGGGTAAGTCCTACCTCGCTTGCCTCAGACCCTACCCAAATCCACATCCAGGGAAAGAGACACTCACCACTGTGCATTTTGACAAAACGCAGAGGATAGTTTTGCCACACTCAGAAGTATAAACAGTATTCAATATGGCCTCAAAGCCCACCCTAAACCTCCCCACTCAGGGAGGCAGATGATCACCATAGCACATCTCAGCACAGAGCAGAGGCTAATTCTATGACACCTGGAAGTTTAAAAAGCACTCAACTCAGCCTCAAAGCCTACGACAAGGCCCTACCTAGGCAGAGAGAACTCCAACTCTGCATTTTTACTAAGCTTAAGAGGCAATCTCATCCATCCCAAGCAGCCACTTGTCTTAACCTCAGGGCGACTACTGTGATCCTGTTCAACTGTGGAACCCAAACAACGTTACCCCCTGGCCAGGGACTACATCCTGTTGCGCACCCTGGTCAGAAGCAATTGCAGTGTCCATCTGTCAGCTCTGCCTGATTGCAGAGCCCAGCCAGCTACCCCACCTGAACTTACATACCTTTCTATCTTTGTTATCCATGGCTTTCTTCCAACCACTCACCACGCCAGTCAGCCTGGTTCCTTTGCTCTACCACTACTTTTTCTGCTCTGTTTTCTTCCTAAGCACTGCTACATGCACCTGCCACAGCTCCCACCTTTCCCGCATGGAACATCAAGTCCTTCAAGGCTCTCTCATTGCAACTCTTATTTGAAATACCGCCCATGAAATCATGCTTGGTTGACTCAGGCCTCAAAGATTGTTGGCAGCTGTGAGGTGCCAGAGCCCTCACTTAGCACATGTCTTTGCAACTTAAAGTGTGGCCAGCTGGAGCAGGCACATCAGCATCACCTGGGAGCTCGTTAGTAAATCAATCTGAATTGTTAGTCAATCAAGCTGAATTCTAACAAAATACAGGTGATTTATACACACATCTGCATTTGGGAGGCACTGATCAGTGCCCCCTTGCTTTTTTGATTATCTTTTCCAGGGAGGTGCTGTTTTAACTGAACTAGCTATGACACTGCATGTCTGAACAACCCACCATGATTCTCTGCACTTGGGAGGGTTTGATATAATTTTTACTGATACTAACAAGGAAGTCTCATAAACACTAGTGAAACTGACATCTTCCTAATGACTTTATTCTGACTTTGTTCTTGTCATCCCTCTGTCAGTGGACAAAGGAATATGCCACATGTTCCAGATTTCTGACATCAAGAGCATAATGAACAGCCTCTTCCTTCCAAGATCTAAGCCATTCAATCATATTTTGTTCAACCTAAACAACCAACAGATAACACAACCTCATAGCTTGATAAAATAAATATGGGATAGAGTCTGCAGTAATTTTCTAAGAATCCCCAAACAATGTACCACATGCTGAGTGGCTTAAACCACAGAAACTTATTTTCTCACAGTTTTGGAGGCTAGAAGTCAGATTAAAGTGCTGTCATCTGTGCCATGCCTCTCCCTACCTTCTGGTGACGTGGTGGCAATCTTTGCCATTCCTGGACTTGTAGAAGCATCACTCTGATCTCTGCCTTCATCTTTACATGACGTTCTCCCTGCGGGCATGTCTATCTCCAAATTTCCCCTTTTTATAATATTGGATCAGGGTCTACCTAATGACTTTGTTTTAACTTAATTACCTCTGTAAAGATTTTGTTTTCAAGTAAAGTCACATTCTGAAGTGTTGGGGATTAGGACTTCAACATATGAATGGGGCAAGAGAGCATGCTTTAACCCATAACAGAGTCTAAAACCTTTCTGAATGTAGATTGTGTGTGTGTGTGTGTGTGTGTGTGTGTGTGTGATATCTCATGTGTGTTATATCTCTCAGGGTTTTTAGGAAGCTGGTGTAGAACAGAGACCAGTTGGTTTAAAATACTGGTTAGACAATACTGGGCAAAGCTAAGAACTGATCCTAAAGACTTGAAGCAGCGAGAAATCTCAACACCTCTAGCCACATTAGCCTAAAAATATCCTTGGTAGAAGTTGACCACTGTCAAGAGCTTTGGCTTCTTTCACCTGTAGGGAAGCTCAACCCTGTTCTTTCTGGACACTACCACCAGTTTTAATGGCCTGTCGTTTACTTTAACTGGACTGCATGTTTGCAGCAGCGTAGATTGCCAGGGGTGAACTGGGGAGTTCATAGTAAGATTCCAGATGCCCGAAGCCTCAATAGCTGCTCACTGTTATTATCTTCCCCCAAGTGTTACACGAACAGTGGCCTCAGTCATAGAATAAGGATGGAGGGTGAGGAAGCCAGACTTTTTCATGCTGTCTTGATTGAATATACATTGAGTACTGATATGCCCACATTTAACTGGCACTACATTTGAGATGATATCTAGCTAATGGCCAGTTATCACATAGAAAAAGACTGAGGAGAGGCTTATAATTAAGAGGGACATGGGCAAAATCCCAAAAGACCTTATGCATCTTATTTTTATATGATAGAAAAGTAGATTGAACCCTATCAAATATGTCCTACCAAAAATAATCTTGTAAGCATGCTTTAGGAAGTATGGTGATCAGGAAAGAATTTTCAGAAATTACTTGATTTTCTCCCAAGATTTATAAATACTAGAGCCCTGAAGGATGGAGGATGTTCAAGTAGTTTTTATTTCATTACTTTATTTTTAAATTTTATTTATTTATTCTTGAGATGGAGTCTCAGTCTGTCACCCAGGCTGGAGTTCAGTGGCATGACCTCGGCTCACTGCAACCTCCGCCTCCCAGGTTTAATTGATTCTCCTGCCTCAGCCTCCAGAGCAGCTAGGATTACAGGTGCGTGCCACCATGCTCAGATAATTTTTTTATTTTTAGTAGAGACGGGGTTTCACCATGTTGGCTAGGCTGGTCTCGAGCTCCTGACCTCAGGTGATCCATCCACCTCAGCCTCCCAAAATGCTGGGATTAGAGGGGTGAGCCACCGTGCCGAGCCTATTTCATTACTTGAAAGGTAGAGTTTCTCCCCTCCAGTTTAGGATTTTTTTTTTTTTATTGTCATTATTATTTGGTAAAGATGTTGTGAGACAGTTTGCAGCCTTTCAAGTCACAGAAACAACTGTTCAGGATATTTTGTTGCATTTGGTATTGGCTAAGCTTCTTTTATTATGAAATTCCTTTTTCATCCTTAAAAAGAAAAGGACCTTAGGTCTCTTTCCCATCTGCTTCTATGAAAGGAGGCAGAGTTTTAATGAGCACGTTGGCTGACTGCAGCTCAAGTGGAAGAAATTAAATGTTCCACGTTTCATTTGCTTTTGCAAGAGCGAAACTTACATAGCAACCTGTGTTCAGTGCTGTGCTCCAGGATTCCACAGAAAAGAATAGAATTACAGCAACCATTTACTGCTTCGGAGAGTCAGAGGCACTCATAATCCAGATAAGACAAGATGACTGGACCCGCTGCTGGCCAATCTTGGGCTGCCACATTCCACAAGAAAATGCAGTCCAACAAGATTTGTAAAATCAAATAAGGAGAATTTGGGATTTATAAAGCACTGGCGTGTGAGTCAAGTTTCCTAGAATAATTCCCAAATGAAACTCTGTGGTTTAATTTCCTTCAAGAGTTAACAGGGAGAGTGTTGCCTCCTAAATATCCCCTTGCAGATTAACTGCTTTTGGCATCATTCACACTGATCATGCCAGGAATTGTTTCCCAAGTGACCCTCCACAGACCACCTGCATCAATGTCTCCTGGGTGCTGATTAAAGGGGAAGATTTGGCCGTGCGTGGTGGCTCACGCCTGTAATCCCAGCACTTTGGGATGATGAGGTGAGCTGATCACCTGAGGTCAGGAGTTCGAGACCAGCCTGGCCAACATGGTGAAACCCCATCTCTACTAAAAGTACAAAAATTAGCTGGGCATGGGGTCGCGTGCCTGTCATCCCAGATGCCTGAGAGGCTGAGGCAGGAGAATCGCTTGAACCACGGAGGCAGAGGTTGCAGTGAGCCGAGTTCACGCCACTGCACTCCAGCCTGGGCAATAGAGCAAGATCCTATCTCAAAAACATAAAAAATAAATTTTTAAAAAAGGGAAGATTTGGGGGTCCCTTTCTTACACTGTGGAATCAGGATTTCAGGGGGTGGGGCTTGGATATCTGGGGTTTTAACAAGAACTCCTATGGTTCTTATACACACTGAAGTTTGCAAACCACTGAGCCAGGGTCTCTCCTCTCACTCTCCAAGTCCTAGGAGGAGATTTGGTACCAAATCACTTAAGCAAGGCTAAAGAAAGAGGACACTGCTGCTGTCAACCCTGGACCCAGGGCACACTAGCATCACTGCTACTACTTCCCTTGGAAGAAGGATGTCACTCTTAAAATCCCAACCAGTAGCAGAGAGGGGTGGCTGGCTTCATTGTCCATGCTTCTTTGCCTAGCCACCCCAGGCAGGGATAACTGACAACTTGACCCTAGATCACATGGCATAGACCTGGGAAAATAAATGCTTAAGGTCTTCAGCATCCTGGAGCAAGAGGGAGATTCATATAGTAAAGAACTGTCTAAACATAGGTAAAGAGTTGTCAGAGTTTTAAAAATAACAACAAGAGGATAGAGAGCCTGAAATGAGAGGTTAGCCACACATGCTACAACCTTTGCAGCAGAAAATAAAGCCTGAGAGTTGGAGCTCTGAATCCAGAGAGTCCTTCTTGGTGAATGCCGAGGGCTGGTTAGAAAATCCTTCCAAAGAGGCTCACAGAACTCTTCCTTGCTGATCTGCCTTCAAAAAGCCACTACTTAAGTCCTCTTTTCTCTCATGATTAAGTCCAAATCACTGATGCTTTACATGTGTTGGTGGCCTTCTGTCTCCAGCCCTTTAACTTTTCATTCTAGGAGGAGTTTTAGGCTTCCTAGGTTATCTTATCTTTCTCCCCTGGGTTCTTTCTTCACTTTCTGTGATTCTTGTATAATTGAATATGGCCATGCTAATTTTACAAGTCAACAGGAGCTCAGAAATGGTGCATAAAAATGAAGGTCATGTAGCTAACGATGTCACAGGTGAAGGTAGGAGTGAGTCCTATATGTTTTAGACTTCTATAAGCCCAGGGAGAAAACTCTCTTTTCTAGGCCTTTGACATCCTCAGTCATTTTTATACACCATCCCCACCTATCTGTATTTTGCACGCCCCATTATGCTTAGCTGGACTGATGACAGTCTTCCTAGAAGCTGTAACCCTTTCCACATCGATTGCACTCTTTCTGTGTCATTTCTCCCAGGTAGAGTCAAGTTGGACTTGCTCCCTAATAATTTCTATTCAGTGTTTCGTTCTAGGCATTTACCAACTTGATATCACTTAATCTTATAAAGGAAAAAATCAAGATTCAGAGAAACAAGGTAAATTATCTAAGGCTACATATTTAAATAAATGATAGAACAAAAATCCAACCTGGGTCTAACGTCTGTGGTTTTCTGCTCCATCACACGGCTTCCTACACTATATTGGAATGAAAATATAATGGTGGAATATCTAATGACAGATAAAGATGAAAATGTTATAGACGAAGAGATCCCTAAAACGATGCCATGATGGTGGTGATCTAGTTTGCATCTAGGTAATACAGCCTTACACACACACACACACACACACACACACACACACACACATCTCCTTTTTTGTCCCTCCAAGTCTTGGTGATTCCTCTACCTTTTCAACTGCAATAGGAATTCGGTATTACTGTTTATTAGGAGCTAGGATAGGCAGTTACATATATTATCTCTAATTTTTACAATAACCCTACAAGTTATCTTATCCCTACTTAAGAGAATTAAGCTGAACCACATGGAAATTGGCAGAGCTCCCAACTTACCTGGTCTGACTCCCACAGTCGGCTTCCTCCACTCCTTGAGGCCATATTGTTTCACTCAGATAATTCATTGACATCACTTATGGAGGAAATGAAAAGTTGAAAAATAAATGTATTCGTCAGGTGCGGTGGCTCACACCTGTAATCCCAGTGCTCTGGGAGGCGAAGGCTGGTGAATCACTTGAGGCCAGGAGTTTGAGACCAGCCTAGTCAGCATGGTGAAACCCTGTCTCTACAAAAAATACAAAACTTGGCCGGGCATGGTGGTGTATGCCTGTAATCTCAGCTACTCGGGAGGCTGAGGCACGAGAATTGCTTGAACCCAGGAGACAGTCAGCAGAGATGGTGCCACTGCACTCCAGCCAGGGCAATGAAGCGAGACTCTGTCTCAAAAATAAGTAAGAAAATCAATAAATAAATGTATTGTCTACCCCGTTTGGTGCACCTGCATTGTAAATGCTTGTTGCACTGTCACACTGTTTCTAACTCCCTCACATTGCATTGTATAGTGTCTAACGCTTAAGAAATGGTGGAGTTGGTGATGATAATTATAAACCAAGTTTAAAGATAGAAATTGTCATAGCATTATTTTAGGAATGATGATCCACTGGTTGTTCAGAGGACTAGTTAATATATTAACTAGTAATATATGTATATGTATGTGCATACATAATATATACACATGTGTATATATAGCATATACACATACATATATGTATATATAATATATACGTTATACAAATATAAAAGTTAATATAAATATATGTATATGTGTACATAATATATACATGTATATATAATATATACACATATATATGTATATATAATACATACAAGTGTATATAATATATGCACATACGTATATACACATATTATATATACACATACGTATATCATTATTGAGAGTGTGTATATATATATATATATATATATATATACACACACACAAAGTTCGGGAAGAACAGAAATCTGTTAGTGTACTGAATTTCATACAAATATTCATATATATTCTTCATTTTACTTGCTTTTTAAAGGAAAATTGCTTTTCAATATGTACAAAGTAGAAACTTGGTCCTAATTGGGCAATCCAATTGAATCAGAACTGAAAGTTCCCGTTCAGAATAGTCAGTGCCTCCTGTTTGATCTGGAGTAGAACACTCAATGAGTGCTCACTCACCGAGAAGGTTGGTTTGTGAGGAATTTTTCTTGTTTTCTTTGGCAGGCTGTTAAATGTGATGGTTTTCATTTGCTCAGCCTTTCAAAAAAAAATCTTTACCTCTTACGATTTTTGACCAATGTATAATGTTGCCAATTTACTGGATTTTTTGCTTACCATAACTTACTTCTCAGAAATTTATGTTGAAATTCCTGTCAATGGCTAAGAAGCCAGCTGTTGAAGAAAAGACAGAGATTCCTATACAAGCTGCTAACCAGTACTGAGCACATTTCTCAGAGGCTTTCTGCAACGATTTAGCAGTCGGGGGAACTCATGGCTAAGTTACTCAGTGTTTCAAACTCTTGGTAACCCTTCTAAGGCTGATGCCAAAGCTTATGCAGAGAGGAGAATATGATGTTGTAGTTGCTGTGACTGCCTATGATGAAGAAAGGCCTTAATGGGCACTGAAGCCACTTCTTGAAATACACTTTTAAAACATTCTTTATAAATCATGAAAGGTAATATCAAGACTATTTATCAGCACTCTCAGTGTCCACTTATTTAAATTTCCCCGAAGTCTTAGAAGGGAATAAAGATGTGGGTTGCTCTACAATAATTCATGCTTTTGAGTACATTGTTCTACAAAAGTGTATACTTTTCTCTCAAGTCATTTGTGAGCAACTCAAGGTCAAGGGCGGCATCACTTTCCTGGGTGTCTCCACTAATACAGCAGAGAGTCCCTGGGAAAACTTGACTACATAAAGAGAGCATGAAGGCAGGCTGGGACCAAGTACACTCTGTGATACAGTAAAACAGAAGGTTTTGGCAAGGGAAATGCCTGCCTCTCCACAGGAACAAAACCAGTGGTGCACAGCAGATATTTGGATTTTCTGAGACAGACCTGAGTAAGAAATGTCTGTGTAGCATAAAGACACATTTAACAGCTTTCCAAAACATCTGGGTTTTTGCCATGCAGAGTATCTGTGAAGTCTGGGGTACATGGCTTTAACTTCCCAAACCCTCAGATTTGCCTTGTGGTATCCAAATCACATAATACTAACCTGCCTCATCAGGAAGCTGGGAGGCAGAGCTCAGGAAGGACTTTGGGCCAGGCACAGTGGTTCACACCTATAATCCCGGCTCTTTGGGAGGCCAAGGAAGGAGGATCACTTGAGCCCAGAAGTTGGAGACTACTCTGGGCAACATAGTGAGACCCCCATCTCTATAAAAGTAAAAAATAAAAAAAAATGAGCCAGGTATGGTGGGCGCCTGTAGTCCCAGGTACTCAGGAAGCTGAGGCAAGAGGGTTGCTTGAGCCCCGGAGTTTGAGGTTACAGGGAGCTATGATCATGCCACTGCACTTTAGCCCGAGTGACAGAGCAAGACCCTATCTCTGAAAAAGAAAGGACTGTGAAGGTATAAATTCCAAATTCTTGACAGAGCCATGGAAAATTTATCACATTGAAATTGTGAATTGATTTACTGTCTTATTTTGGGCTAGTGATGGAATTAAGATCTCCCAGGAACAGCATGATGAATTGGCTCAGAGCAAGAAACTTGTGCACAGTTCCTCTGAGAACTTGGCCAGGGAAGTGATTATTTTTGCTTTATTTTTTCATTGTGCCCTGGTCCACAGAATCCATTCTCCTTCTTGGTGTTTGAGTGTCATCAAACAGACAACACTGTAATGTCTTAATAGCTACGGGATGGCTTCTCTCCTTTATTATTCATTACATGGGATCTGGTCAACCCTTGGGAATACAGAGAAATTGGCAAAGCTGTCTTTACAGTGTGGAGCCTTCCTATTTTCTTCCTTTGGTGAGGACAATATTAACTCATAAAGGAATCCAGGTTGCTCAGACATACTTGCCTTAGAAAACTTAGTACCAAGAAAGGACCTAGTACATTAATCTTACAGTAATTTTCACAGAGGGGCAAGTAAGCAGCTAGTGGAGATGAAAAAGTGTTTGCTTGGGTCAGGAGGCCTACGTCTAAACCAACTGTGCACTTGCAAGCTGGGTCATTTGGGATACAGTTTTAAGCTTTGATCTGATTCAGTTCAGACGACACATTATCATGCAGAAGAAAATGCATCAAGATTTAACTTGAAATGACCTCTGTAGGTTCTATGTATTGAACCTGGAAAGATGTGTTGTGCTATGTGAAAAAAAGCATGTTGCAGAATAACATGCATAGTGCTATTCATTCTGTGTAAAGAAAGAAGGAAGGAGGGAGGAAAGAGGCAAATCAGGGCAGAATGAAACTTCAATGTTCTATTTTGTTTTTTAAAACATCCTAATAATACAGAAGTGTATAGATAGCATTATATTAGTTCTGTTTTCTAAATTACTGTATTAGTCTGTTCCACATTGCTAATAAAGACATAACTGAGACTGGGTAATTTACAAAGAAAAAGAGCTTTAATGGACTCACAGTTCCACATGGCCAGCCATGTGGAACCTCACAATCATGGCAGAAGGTGAAGGAGGGGCAAAGGCACATCTTACATGGCAGCAGGCAAGAGAGCGTGTGTAGGGAAACTGCCCTTTGTAAAACTATCAGCTCTGGTGAAACTTATCACAAGAACAGGATGGGAAAAACCCACCCTCATGATTCAATTACTTCCCACAGCATCCCCCCCATGACATGTGGAGATTATGGGAGCCACTATTCAAGATGAGATTTGGGTGGGGACACAGCCAAATCATACCAATTACCAAACAATGATAAACTATTTTTTCCAGTTATGGGTCCCACTTACACAGTGAATTGATCCATGATCAGTATCTGTTTGATCTGAATGCATTTTTACTTACATGGTCATCACAAATATAGCTGCAGAGACAACATTCCCAGACAAACTATGGTTCTAGTACCATGTTGTTCTGTGCAAGAGTCTAGGGCAGTTTCCTAACTTAATTTCTTGAGTCTAGTATTCCAGGCATTCAATCCACTACACTCCATATCCATCTAGCCTCAACATTACCCTGTGGTTTCAGGGAAGCTGGTCTTTGTTTTGCGACACTGTCCTGCTTCAGGAATAACCCCTTCTCAGGAAGAATCTCCTGCCACCTCTTCCAATCACACCTTTTTTTTTCCCCACTTCCTCATACATTTATATTATTCTTAAACATTAATTATAAAGGTAAAATATATTTATTGAGAAAATCCAGAAAGTAAAGTCTAAAGAAGAAAATTAAAATAACCTGTCACCACTTTCCGCTAACATTTTAGTGTATGACCATCTAATCATTTTTCCATTTCTCCCACACTTTTCATTAGCAAACTTTAGACTGTAAACTTTACAAACATTCTCTAACTTGATTTAAAAGTTAAGATAACTTGGGAATTTTCCCAAGTCATTTTGTTTTCTCCACAGTATGATTCCATGAATGTATCTTAATTTATTTAACTGCCCTCTAAATCAGGATGTTTAATTTGTTGCAAGCATTTTATTGTGATAAAAAGTGCTACAGTAAATATCCTTGAAAAAGTCTCTAATTAGGTCATGAAATTAAATTCTGAGAAACAAAATTACTAGATTATGAGAAAGAAATGTGTTCAAAGATTTTTCAACCACACTGACAAATGATTATCCAGAAATTTCGTAGAATTCAATTTCCACCAGCAGCCAATACATGTTGTTGCTATACACTTTCATCAATGCTGCTCCAGCATTTCTTTTAGGACTGGGTCAAGGCTCATTGCCTCATAAATGACTAAACTTTCGAGTCTGAATGCAATCATCTCCTGCTCTCTCACATCTTTCCACCATCCCCAGTGTTGATATAAATCCTAGAATATTGTTTGATTTATTTGTTCGATTGTCTTTCAAGTTACGTGATTCTCTGCAATCATCCCACAAGTCTTTTAAAGGAGAACATTTTCTTTTTTGCGGGGCAGGACATTTTCAATGTCTTTTGTATACTACATAATTTTAGTTGATTCCATTTCCCTCTAAACTTTACCAATAGTTTATCACAGATTAGAGAATTATTCTCCCGGAGACTATATCTCAGTGCATAATTGTTTTTCACTATCTGACAAAATGTCTAGCAAAATTCATCCGAAGACATAATTCACTATCACTGGATGTCACATGATGAGATAAATCCAGGAGAAACTGTAGCCATCTTTCTGATTTATAGACCAGTTGTATGAATCATAAAATAGCTCCTCTTTGCACATAACCATATATAATTTTTGGTTGCATCTAAAAGGTCATTTCACCTTCAGCGTATCTCTCAATCTCGATAGAGCTGAAACTGAACACAAGGAAAAGTGAAGAACTCCAAATTGATGTGTAACATTTTCCAAACAGAAAAAAACTTCATCTGAACCAACTGCCAAAAACTCTTTCTCCTCTTTCTTATTATCAAATTACTAACAGTCTTAAGCCAACCTTGTTTGTCGAATGTTGAGAAACATGTGACTTGTGCCTCAGTGTTCTTGGCTTGATAAGGATCTCCAGGAGCAACAACAAGAGAAAGCTACTGGTGAAGTTAGCCAGGAAATACAGAGGTAGAATACAAACAAAGCCACCCAAGGACTGATTCAATTTACTGGTAGAAATGTTATATTATTTTTTTAAAAACCGAAAGTACAATAAAACCCAGTGGGAAACCATGGACTTGGCTGTTGAGATTATTAACGACAGCAGTTTGGGAACAAGCTGCTCTCAGCATGATTCTGACTTGAAATGTGACTGTGGCACAGATTGCTATTGATGTACATGAGGGCGGATTTTCTACGATCTGTAGTCCTAGATCCCCTACTTCTAATTTTGAACAACCTGGAGCTTACCTCAGCTAGAACTTGGTAGGATCTCTATCCACAACTATCTTGATTAGTCACCTTAAGTTACATAAAGCTAAACTAAAGCCCTCTTGCCACCAGAATTTTCAAGTAAAATTCTCTCTCTGGTAAATCTCAATTTTCACCAAATTATTAACTTCAATTTGACACTATTAATATGATGCCCCATTGATATGTTTAAAGAGTAGTCTACTCCCACCTCTTTTTAAGAGACACAGCCTACGTCGTTCAAATTATAATGCCATTGGTTTGCTGGATATTGCCCCAAAATGTGATGCCAAGTTCTTTTTTCAACTGAAGATCTGGAGATCTCAACAGAGCACAGGCTCCAAGGATAGAGTGGGCTTCAAGCTGTTTTCTCTGAAAATCCTGGATTCAAACACAGACCCCCTCAAGGAATACTGGTTAGACTCCTTAATTTTTGTGCGTGTGTGTGTGTGTGTGGGGGGGTGTTTTTGTAGAAATCGTTTTATTTTTGATATTCAATTTGGGGGTACATGTGCAGGTTTGTTACATGGGTATATTGCATGATGCTAAAGTTTGGGGTATGGATGATCCCATCACCCAGAAGTGAGTATGTTACCCAATAGGTAGTTTTTCAGCCCACACTCCCCACTCCCTTGCCACTCTACTATTCCCCAGTATCTACTGTTCCCATCTTTATGTTCATGTACACTCGGTGCTTAGTTCCTACTTACAAGTGAGAACATGCAGTGTTTGCTTTACTATTCCTGCTTTAATTCACAGAATAAAAGCCCCCAGCTGTGTCCATGTTGCTCAAAGGACACGATTTCATTCTTTGTATGGCTGCATAGTATTCCATGGTGTATAAGTAACACATATTCTTTATCCAGTCCACCACTGATGGACAACTAGGTTGCAACTAGGTTAATTCCATGTCTTTGCTATTGTGAAGAGTGCTGTGACAAGCATATGAGTGTGCACATCTTTTTGGTAGAACGATTTATTTTCCTTCGGATATATACCCAGTAATAGGATTGCTAGAACGAATGGTAGTCCTAAGTTCTTTAAGAAATCTCCAAGTGCTTTCCAGAGTGGCTGAACTAATTTGCATTCCCACCAACACTATATGAGCTTTCTATTTTCTCTGCAATCTCACTAGCATCTGTCATTTTTTGACTCTTTAATAATTGCCATTCTGACTTATGGGAGATGGTATCTCACTGCGGTTTTGATTTGCATTTCTCTGATGATTAGTGATGATGAGCAGTTTTTCATCTGTGTTGGCTGCTTGTATGTCTTCTTTTGAGAGGTGCCTGTTCATGTCGTTTGTCAATTTCTACACTGGATTATTTATTTTTTGCTTGTTAAGTTCTCTATAGATTCTGGATATTAGACCTTTGTCAGATGGGTAGTTTGGGAATATTTTCTCTCTTTCTGTAGGTTGTCTGTTTAGTAATTTCTTTTGCTGTGCAGACATCCTTTAGTTTAATTAGGTCCCACTTGTCAATTTTTGGTTTTGTTGCCATTGCTTTTGGGGGCTTAGCCATGAGTTCTTTGCCAACGCCAATATCTAGAAGGATATTTCCTAGGTTTTCTTTAGGATATTTATAGTCTGAGTTCTTGTAGTTAAATCTTTAGTCCATCTTGAGTTAATTTTTATATACAGTGAAAGGTAGGGGCCCAGTTTCATTCTTCTGCATATGGCTAGCCAGTTATCTCAGCAGCACTTATTGAATAGGGAGTCCTTTCCCCATTGCTTATTTTTCTTGACCTTAATGAACATCAGATGGTTGTAGGTGTGCCGATTTCTAGGTTCTCTATTCTGTTGCATTGGTCTATGTGTCTGTTTTTGTACTAGTTCCATGCTGTTTTGATTAGTGGAGCTGTATAGTATAGTTCGAAAATGGGTAATGTGATACCCCCTGCTCTATTCTTTTTGCTTAGAATTGCTTTGGCTATTGATGATCTTTTTTGGTTTATATGGGTTTTAGAATAGTTTATTTCTGTGTAAAATGATGTTGGTATTTGATAGGAGTAGCATTGAATCTGTAAATTGCTTTGAGCAATATCATTTTAATGATATTGGTTCTTCCAGTCCATGATCATGGAATATTTTTCCATTTGTCTGTGACATCTCTGATTTCTTTCTGCAGTGTTTTGAAGTTCTCTTTGTAGAGGTCTTTCATCTTTTTGGTTAGATGTATTCCTAGGCATTTCATTTTTCTTGTGGCTATTATAAATGAGGTTATATTCTTGATTTGGCTCTCAGCTATAAAGTTACTGATGTATAGCAATGCTGCCGACTTTTGTACTGATTTTGTACATTGATTTTGTACTCCTTAACTTTACTGAAGTTGTTTATCAGTTCTAGGGGTCTTTTGGCGGGACTCCTTAATTTTCATAACAAAATACTAACCTTGTCACCTGTTCCCCGGAACTAAAGTTAAGCAACGGACTTTAGTCAGCAAATTAAAGTCAGATTAAAGTTATCTATATATCAAGCCTTCACCAAAGAGTAGACACTCAAAACTTGGTTCTACAATGCACACCAAAGAGGCCCAGGTGAGCAAATTTATCTTTGAGGATATTACCATAAAGAAATGCTATCTATTTCCTCTGCACATATTCTTAATTCCATTTAGGGGTAAGATGTTAAAATATAAAAAGCTACACTCTTGAAGTATATTACATTTGAGCCTGGAAATTAGTCTTTATTGAATTACGTTTTAATGCTATACCTTCAAATTTTAAAACGAATCCCAACAAATGACAACTTCATAAACTCCAGCTCTTGAATTTGTTGGTAAATTGGGTTTGGGTTATTATACTCTACATAGCCAAATATGCCATCTACAGTGCATGGGCCGAGTGAGATGGGCATAGCAGGTATAATTATGTTCATATTACGGATAATATACACACTTACCCCAGAATCACACAGCCAAAAAAAAATAGGGTTGTATTCAACATCTGAATCCCTCTCCAGTGAGCATTCTATAATGCCATAATGCTCCTTCCTCTCTTATCCATTGGGCAGGCTCCTTCCCCTACTTTGTTCAATCCTATCTGAGGACCAATTTAATATTTCACAGAATTTCTTGTGCTTTCTACACAAAAAAGAGATAATAGAGTCTCAGTTTGAGTTTAATTGAGGATGCTCTCATAGAATCACTTTATACAAATGTACACTTCCTCTAATACCCTTTATACAGTAAACAAATCATTCCTTTATACAGCTAATTTACAAATCATTCCTTCTTGCTTCCTTCTATTCCCTCACCAGTCTTTCTAAACCTCATACATTAAGTCTGGTGAGGATTCAACGAATGTTGCAATTGTTTATCAGAACCTTTTTTGCGGTTGCTCACATAATCCCAGCAAAGAGTTGCAGGATCTGATCAGAGTTCTGACTAACTCCCTTGGATAAGGCACAGTCTGTCAATGACATGTCAGTCAGTAGCCAAGCAGAGCTGGAGCAAGGCAGGAGCTGTGGAGCATGTGTGGAAGGCCCTGCAACCCCAGCAAACAGCGTCATCATGTTGCCAGCTCTGACTTCCCATGGTTTTTAATCAGCGGTCTGACCCTCAAAGCAACAATTTACAGAGCACATGGGTGTATTCGCTTTCCCAGGTGAAATTGGGAAGCTACTATTTTGTGAGTAAGTGCTGTTTCTCTGGATTGCAGCAACAAGCCATCACTAAAAGATGAAAGCAGAAGTGAGGTAGCAGACCCGCGGAAAACGTTCTTGCCTGTAGCCAGGCAGAGTATGCATGCCAGGATGAATCAGAAATGCGTTAAAGAAATTCAGAGACTTTTCAGGTAGTTAAATATTGCAAACATGTGTATATAATTTCATTTTTCTCTTTGAATAGTCTCTTCTGTGCAGAATCTGTTGTATAGTTGATTCTTGCTATGAGATATAATAGAATCAGTTAAGTAATGTTTTAGAAGCATAAACTGAATTAGCATTGAATTATATGTTCTTTATGGTGCTTTTGATTCATGTAACAGAAAACTTCAATTCAACTGACTTAAATGATAAGGGAAATGTATTATCTCATACAACAGGAAGTCCAAAGGTAAGCTTGCCTCAGGGTTGCTTAATTCAGTAGGACAACAAAGTCGGGAACCGATTTTCTTTTCATTTTTTTGTTCTACCTTCCTTGACAGGTTTGACCTAAACTTGCAGGCTAGGTCCCCTTTCATGGGACCACAAGACGATGCCATGGTTCCAGATATCACAGCCAGGACAGTGCCCACAAAACAGCAAAGGATTTCTTATTCTTTTTTTCTTTTTTTTTTTGAGAGGGAGTCTGGCTCTGTCGCCAGGCTCAAGTGCAGTGGCGCGATCTTGGCTCACTGCAATCTCCGCCTCCCGGGTTCAAGCGATTCCCCTGCCTCAGCCTCCCAAGTAGCTGGGACTACAGGTGTGCACCACCATGCTTGGCTAATTTTTTGTATTTTAGTAGAGACGAGGTTTCACCATGTTGGCTACGATGGTCTCGATCTCCTGATCTCGGGATCCACCTGCCTTGGCCTCTCAAAGTGCTGGGATAACAGGCATGAGCCACCACACCCGGCCGAGATTTCTTTATATGTGTTATGTGCCTCTTCTTTTTGTGTTTATATTTGTTCGATTTTTTTCTCAATATATAATTGTACATTCTTATGGTGTACATGTGATATTATTTTGATACATGCACACAATGTGTAATGATCAAATCAGAGCTTTCTTTATATGTATGTGTCTCTCCTTTTTGTTTTTATATTTTTTTCAAATTTTTATTGCTATATAATAATGGTACATACTTATGGTGTACATGATATTTTGATACATGCACAGTATTTAGGACATCACCTCTTCAAACACTTATCATTTCTTTGAGTTGGAAACATTCCAAATCTCTTTTAGCTATTTTGAAATGTAAAATCAAGTACAGTTTTTTAATAGTTTTTAAAAATCTATTTTATAATTGACACAATAATTGTACACATATATGGGGTACATAGTAATGTTTTGGTAGATGTATAGTGATCAGACCAGGGTAAATAGCACATTCAACATCTCAAACACTGATCTTTTTTTTTGTGTTAAGAACATTCAGTATCCTTCTTGTAGCTATTTGAAACTATTTATTATTGTTAACTATAGTCATGCTACTGTGCTATCAAAACTAGAACTTATTCTTTCTATCTAACTGTATTTTTGTATTCACCAATCAACCTCTCTTCCTCCTCTGTTCACCTCTACCCATTCCAGCCTCTGGTAACCATCAGTCTACTTCCTACCTCCATGAAATCAACTTCTTAACTCCTACATGTGAGTGAGAACATGCGATATCTGTCTTTCTATACCTGGCTTGTTTCACTTAACATATGTCCTCCAGTTCCATCCATGTTGCAGAAAATGACAGAATTTTATTGTTTTTGTGGCTGAGTAATATTCCATTGAGCATATATATATATCACATTCTTTCTCCATTTATCTGTTGATGGACACTTAGGTTGATTCTATATGCTAGCTGCTGTGAATAGTGCTGAAATAAACATGCAAAGTACAGATATCTCTTCGATATGCTGATATCTTTCTTCTGTTTTTTTTTTTCTATCACACAAATTTCAACAGACAATTTCCTTTCTTCTGGATATATACCCAGCAAAGGGATTGCTGGATCATATGGTAGATCTATTTTTAGGTTTTTGAGGAACCTCATATGGTAGAACTATTTTTAGTTTTTTGAGGAACCTCCCATGTGTTTTCCATAGTGACTGTATTAATTTACATTTCCACCACCCATGTACTAACATTTCTCTTCCTTTGCATTCTCACCAGAGTTTTTGTCCTTTAAATAATAGCCATTTTAACTGAGATGCGATGGTATGTCCTTGTGGTTGTGATTTGTTATTTCCCTGATTATTAGTGTGATCTTCAGCATTTTTTCATATACTTGGTGGCCAACTGAATATCATCTTTTGACAAATGTCTATTAGGATCATTTGCGCATTTTAAGTAAATATTATTTTTTGCTATTGTTTGAGTTCCTTATATATCCCAGTCATTAATCCTTTGTTAAATGGTTTGCAAATAGTGTCCCCATTCTGAAGGTTGTCTCTTCACTTCATTGACTGGTTTCTTTGCTGTGCAGAAGCTTTTTATATTGATTTAATCCTGTTTGTCTATTTTTGCTTTTTCTGTCTGTGCTTTTGAGGTCTTACTCAAAAGTCTTTGCCCAGACCAATGGTTTGAAGCAGTCCCTCAATATTTCCTTCTAATAGTTTCATAGTTTCAGGTCTTACATTTAGGTCTTTAATTCATTTTGATTTGATTTTTGTATGGTGAGAGATAGGGGTGTAGTTTCATTCTTCTGCATATGAATATTCAGTTTGCCTAGCACCACTCATCTGTCCTTTTCCCAGTGTGTGCTTTTGGTGCTTTTGTCAAAAATTGATTGGCTGTAAATATGTAAATTTATATCTGGGTTTTCTATTCTGTTATATTGGTCTATGTGTCCGGTTTTATGCCAGAATCATGCTGATTTGGTCACAATGACTTTGTAGTATATTTTGAAGTCAGGTAGTGTGATACTGTCGCATTTGTTGTCTTTGCTTGGGATTGCTTTGGCTAGTTGGAGACTTTTGTATTTCTATAAAAGTAAAATTTTAGTAATGTTTTTACTATTTCTGTGAAGAGTGTAATTGGTATTTTGATGGAGATTTCATTGAATCTGTGGATCTCTTTGAGTAGTATGAATATTTTAACAATATTACTTCTTCCAATCTATGACCATGGGCTATCTTTCCATTTTGTGTGTCCTTTTCAATTTCTTTCATCAGTGCTTCATAGTTTTTCACTGCAGAGATCTTTCACTTCTTTTATGGTATGCGTATATATGTGTGTGTGTATATATATATAATATGCTGTATTCTTACAATAAAGTAAGCTAGAGAAAAGAAGATGTTATTAAGAAATTCATAAGAGAAAATATATTTACTATTTATTAAGTGGACATGGATCATCATAAAGTTCTTCATCCTCGTTGTCTTCACACTGAATATAGGATAAGGAGGAGGAGGAGGAGGAAAAGGAGGGGTTAGTCTTGCTTTCTCAGGAGTGGCAGAGGTGGAAGAAAATCTGTGTGTAAGTGGATCCATGCAGGTCAAAACCGTGTTGTTCAAAGGTCAACTGTACTCACTTTTACCAAAGAGCTGCTGGACAGGGAGAGGGAGGAATGTGGAAAGGGGCATGTTGATGAAAAAGTGCAGTTTCAGTTAGACTGCAGAAATGTATTTTTTGCCTGTTTATTGTTTATTATTTAAATTTTTCCTTCAATTTTTATTTTAGTACCAGGGGTACACGTGCAGGTTTGTTACAAAGGTATATTGTGTGATGCTGAGGTTTGGAATATGATTGAACCCCTCACCCAGGTAGTGAGTATAGTAACCAACAGGTAGTTTGTCACCCTTTGCCTCCCTCTCTCTCCCCCCATAGGAGTCCCCAGGGTCTATTGTTCCCATCTTTACATCCAAGTGTGCCCCATGTTTAGCTCCCAGTTATAAATTAGAATATGAAGTATTTGGTTTTCTGTTTCTACATTAATTCACTTAGGATAATGGCCTTCAGCTGCATCCATGTTGCTACAAAGGACATGATTTCATTATTTTTTTATGGCTGCATGGAAATACCCTTTTTGATACTGGTCTTGACAAAGAATTTATAGCTAAGTCCTCAAAAACAATGACAACAAAAACAGAAATTGGTAAGTAGGACCTAATTAAACTCAAGAGCTATTTCACAGCAAGAGAAACTGTCAAGGGAGTAAATAGACAACCTACAGAATGGGTGAAAATATTCTCAAACTATGCATCCAACAAAGGTCTAATATCCAGAATCTATAAAAAACTTAATTCAACTAGCAAAAAACAAACAACCCCATTAAAAAGTGGGCAGAAGACTGCACAGACATTTCTCAAAAGCAGACATACACATGGCCAAGAAACATGTGAAAACAAATGCTCGCCAGCCCTAACCATCAGAGAGATGGAGATCAAAACCATTATGAGATACCATCTCACACTAGTCAGAATGGTTTTTATTAAAAAGTCAAAAAATAACAGATATTGGTGATACTACAGAGAAAAGGAAACACTTACACACTGATGGTAGGAATACAAATTAGTCCGGCCACTGTGGAGAGATGTTTGGCGATTCCTCAAAGATACAAGAGTTCAACTATCATTCGACCCAGCAATTCATTACCGGGTATATGCCTAAGGAAAATAAATAGTTCTACCAAAAGGATGCATGTACCTGCATATTCATTGCAGTGCTATTCATAATACCAAAAACATGGCATCAACCCAGGTACCCGTCAGTGGTGGATTGGATAAAGAAAATTTGGAGAAAGAAGTGTAAGTGATCTACTATACTGCATGGTGACCATAGTTAATAATAATGTATTATATATTTCAAAAATGGCTAATAGATTTTTTTTAACATTCTCACCACAAAAAACATGGATATGTTAATTAGCTTGATTGCATCTTTTTACAATGTATTATAACTCAAAATGTCACACTGTACCCCATAAATATACACAATTATTATTTGTCAATTAATATAAATTAATATTTTAAAGAATTCTGCTTGAATCAAGTTTTAATTTGAATAATTTACAAACTGACTTTGTATTCCAAGTTAGCATATAAATTTCAGGTTTTTCTTAGAGACGGAGTGTCACTTTGTCAACCAGGCTGGAGGGCAGTGGTACAATCACAACTCACTGTAACCTCAAACTCCTGGACTGGATACTCCAGCCTCAGCCTAAGCTGAGCTATATCTTTGTTTTGGACATCAAAATCTTTCTTTACAGATAGGTTAAGTGAATTATATAAAAATGGTATTGAAACAAATAACGTATTCCTTTAAGAAACATAAAGAATGCTTAAGTATCCTTAAGTAAGTTAAATACATTTATTTACATTAAACCATACTTATATTTTATTAAAGTAGATTAGATTTCCTGGAGATAATTTAATCAGCTATATTATCAGATGGATTTAGTATTAGATTATAAATTTTTACTGAGCTCTATTTTGATTAGTCTAAAATAATGAAGTTTAGTGTTTTTCAATTCTGAAAAAATCTTACTGCTGGCTATGAACCAAAAATTACATTTGGCATTTTCTCATATTTATTCTGAAGACTCAAATGTAGTTATTTTTTGAAGACATAAGTCTAATAATTAAATCCAATTTGTGCTTTTACAAAATAATTCCCTCTGCTAGTGTAAAAACAGTTACATATTCTGTGTTTCTGAAAATAGATGTATGTCTCTTAGAAATAGTGGAGTCTCTGGAAATGGAAATGTTCTGAAAAATTGATTTACAAAACATTAGAAAACAATTACTAAGAGAAATTCTGACAAGCAAATGAAATGACAAGAAATCACTGTGTAGTATGACAAAGTATGAGTTGGCAAATTAAAACCTATGGCCAAATCTGACTGGCCACTTGTTTTGGTAAAACTTGCAAGCCAAGAATGGTTTTCACATTTTTAGAAGGTTAAAAAAGATAAAGAATAATATTTCATGGCATGAGAAAATTATATAGGCCAGGCACAGTGGCTCATGCCTGTAATCTCAGCACTTTGGGAGGCTGAGGCGGGCAGATCACGAGGTCAAGAGATCGAGACCATCCTGGCTAAAACGGTGAAATCCTGTCTCTACTAAAAATACAAAAAATTAGCTGGGTGTGGTGGCACGCACCTGTAGTCCTAGCTATTCAGGAGGCTGAGGCAGGAGAATCACTTGAACTTGGGAGGCAGAGGTTGCAGTGGGCCGAGATTGCGCCACTGTACTCCAGCCTGGGTGACAGAGCGAGACTCCGTCTCAAAAAAAAAAAAAAAAAAAAAGTAAATTATGTAACATTCAAATTTCGATGTTTGTAAAATATTACTGGAAGACAACCGTGCTCACTCACTTTTGGTTTGTTTATGGCTGCTTTTGTTCTACAATGGCAGAGTTAAGTTTTGTTGGCCATGTAACTTCATGTGGCCAGCAAAACCTAAAGTGTTTACTATGTGGTCCCTTACAGAAAAGTTTGTCAATTCCTGTCATAGAACATAATTAGAAGGAAACTTCTATTATATAATCCTACCACTAGCATAAGAGCAGCTGTGTAATCTGAAACTACATGATGCTAATGTGACATCTCCTTTAATAGTTCCTGACCCTCCAAAATTAGTGAACACGCTTTATGATACTGAGGCAGGAAAATAAATACTTGCACAAGATATTCTTCAAAATAAAATGTTAGAGGAAATGCTGTGCCAATACATGTTTGTTGATGTGTATTTCCTTTACTATAAATATTAAAATGAAAATGAAGCATATAGGGTCAATGCCTCGAGGAAAAAGGAAATTAAATTCTAGCTTTACAAAGATCACTGGCAAAACTCTGCATTCTGGAAAAAAAATATAGAAAAACTCGGATGCTCTGAAATTCTTGCTCTTCTCTTTTAAATATTAAATAAGTAAAACCCATTTCCTTATCTCTGTATTTATGAATCTCCTTTATATGTTTGTACTCTGCTCCTGCAGTTGTCATAATTTGTTCTTTATTATACTCTTATAACCTCCTCTAAAAGAGGGGATGGCATGCTATTCACCTTACTCTGTAACAGTCACCTCTGCTTCTTGTTTTCTTGTTCTTTTTTAGTGTAAGTACTGTCTACCCATTTCCATGTTCCCTGGTGAGCTTCTCATCCTTCATTTAGACTTCCTGCTTCCCAGGTTTTCTATTTGTTCCCTTACACCCCTCTCCAGTGCCATTCCACCACCACAATTTCATTTTCTCTTGTGAATTTCCTTCTCCATGACTCAGTCCAATTTCCCATCTTTTCCTTTAGCTCTGCATCTCACCGGCACCTGCCTATCTAATTTCCAGTTTCCACCCTCACATCCAGGCACCTATCCAAATGCAAATTCTTCTCCCACACCCAAACACACCTGCCAACTACTCCGCACCACTTCTCACAATCAGTACGCCTCTCTCCTGTCCCTGATCCAATTAAGTTCCCATCATGTCTGTGAGCATATGGCTTCTACACTGCACCCTATCCCTTCTTCCGGGAAGAAGTGTCCTGCCAAGGACATGTGAGCAGACCAGGAAAGGCTCACACATGAGCACTTCTACTACATTTCCTTCCATGCAAACTGCAGTGTATTCAAGGTCATTGAAAGGGGTTCTTTTGCTTCTGATTGGATTTCAGTTTGCTCTAGAGCAGACGAACCTTTGCAAGGAAACCAGGCTAGTTATTGAGGACGGAAGGCAAAGAAAAAAAGCAAGAAAGAGAATAAAAGAAAAAGTATACATATATGTATGTGTATGTATACATATATATTATATATATTATACAGGCACATACCTGTGTTTTATTAATATTACATTTAGTCCCATCATATGTCTGGCACAGCCATCCTTCTGTAGTTACCTAAATCTCACAATTCCTAAGTATAACCCATCCATCTTCACTTCACAGAAATCAATTAAAAAGTGTGGTTGGTGTGTACTTCCAGTAGAACCAATATTATTCCATGCACATGTGATTATCATTTTATACTTTTCAAGGTTCTTTCATAGAAATCATCTCCTTTAGTTACATGCAGTATAGGGCCTGCCTCATCCAGGTCTTGTAGCCTCTTGGGAGCTGTCACCAACATACACTTTTAAGTTGGAGATAAATCTGACATGCAAGATCTTAGGCAAATTCACTGAACTTGAAAAGCATGTCAGAATTAGAGGAGAAAGGAGTGAGCCAAGTTCAAGGATATCAACCATTTCAAAAGGCTATAGAGGCTAAACACTGAGCAAAAATTAACTCAAAATGGATCTAAATGTAAGACCTAAACTTAAGACCTAAAACTGTAAAACTCTGAGAAGAGAAGTGGGGAAGCTTCATGACCCTGGATTTGGCAATGATTTCTTGGATGACACCAAAAACATAGACAACAAAATTAAAAATAGATAAATTGGACACCAAGATTTAAAACTTCTGTGCATCAAAGGGCAGAATCAAGAAAGTGAAAAGGCAACCTATGAAATGGGAGAAAATATTTATAAGAGATTAATATCCACAATATAAAAGAAATCCTACAACTTAGCAACAACAACAAAACAAATAACTCAATTTTAAAATGGTCAAAGGAATTGAATATACATTTCTTCAAAGATGATATGTATATGGCCAATAAGCACATGAAAAGATGCTCAAAATTGCCAATCACCAGGAAAACGCAAATCAACACCACAATATCACCTCACACCCATTAGGATGGCTACTACCGAAAACAAACAACAACAACAAGAAAATAACAAGCATTGGCATTGGCAAGAATGTGGAGAAACTGGAACCCTTGTGCATTCCTGATGGGAATGCAAAACGGTACAGTCACTACGGAAAACAGTAGGATGGTTTCTCAAAAAATTAAAAATAGGATTACCATATGATCCAGCCATTCTACTCCTGAGTAAATACTTAATAGAACTGAAAGCAGGGTCATGAAGAAATATTTGCACACTCATGTTCATAGCCTCACTATTCTGAGAGTCCATCAATGCATGAATGGATAAACAAAATGTATATCACACAATTAAATATTATTCAACTTTAAAAAGGAATGAAATTCTCATCCTACAACATGAGTGAACCTTGAGGACATTGTGCTACATGGAATGATGGAATAAGGGAGTCAGAGAAAGACAAATACTATATGATTCCACTTGTATGTGATACCTACAGTAGTCAAATCCATAGAAACAGAAGGCAGAATGGCAGGGCTAGGGGAGAAGGGAATGGGGAGTGGTTGTTTTGGTTTTGCAAGATGGAAAGGTGCTGGAATTGGTTGCACAAAAATGTGAATATACATAACACTACTGAACTGTACACCTAAAAATCGTTAAGATGATAAATTTTGTTATATGTATTTTACTTGAATTTTTTAAAAAGTCTATAAAGGCTAAAACCGTGTCTCTTTTTTTTTTTTTTTTGAGACAGCCTCACTCTGTCACCCAAGCTGGAGTGCAGTGGTGTGATCTTGGCTCACTGCAACCTCCACCTCCTGGGTTCAAGTGATCCTCCTACCTCAGCCCCCTGAGTAGCTGGAATTACAGGCACCCACCACCACGCCTGGCTAATTTTTGTATTTTTAGTAGAGATGTGGTGTCACCATGTTGGCCAAGCTGGTCTCGAACTCCTGACCTCAAATGATCCACCTGCCTCGCCCTCCCAAAGTGCTGGGATTACAGGCATGAGCCACTGTGCCCAGACCCCTCATTATTTTTTTTTATAACAAGTGAAGAACAATTTTCAGGAAAAAGAATATAGTGAGCATTGACATTTGCCTGTGATGAGCTTATCCGGTGACCTCTTGGACCCTTGTCTTGATGATGTATGCTGCAAGGTCGACTTTTGATTGCTCAGAGCCATAGAGTCCCCAAATACCATGATTACAAAAATCCTTTATGAGCATATTTGAAGAAGATGTAATGGCCCAGTTCTAATTACATCCGAATCACAAAGGAAAACTGTGAAACATTCACAGGTTCAATCTAGAATACAGGCTGACACCTGGTAGAGTATTAACATTCCCAAAGAACGGCACAACAGTGGAAAAGACTCGACAAGGAGAAGTGAGTAAATGCCATGTCTCCTGCAAGACTTCTGCTCATAGTATTGGGAACTTTATACAAGCCGCTCAATTCTGTCTGAGGATATCCAACCCTACCCCAGTCTCTTTTAGTTATCTCAGCAGATAGCACTGAATCCAAAGTCATCTGTTTTCTGACAAAGCCAGGACTCAAACCTAGGTCTTCTTACTTAGGAAGCATGAGTGACATCACTCTGTGGGGCCTTAAATCAATTCCTTTAAGTTACTGCTCCAAGAAACAATGTGCAGTAGACTACCTGCCATCAAAAGCTACACAAGGGAATAGGACATGAATTGTCCTCACAGGAAAGCCTTGGCAGACAAGAAAACTGACACTTTGGATAAGGAAACCATGCAGAATCAACATTCACTTTAAAGAATCAGGTTCTGACCATAAGAACTATATTGGCTGCTGCAGTAAACATGCTAGAACCTGAACCCACATGTAGAGAAACTCCAGAGAGTCACTAGGAGGTATAAATAGAAGTGGGTCAAAGAGACAAATAAACAAAGGTTCTGAAGCCCCTATGCCTATTCTTACTCTGGAATAATTAATCATCCTTACATTTGGGAGAAAATTTAATGTTGATTTTTTTTGTTTGATTTGTGGGGCAGGAGGTTTAATTATTTTAGTTTTAGTTTTGTTTTGTTTGCACAGACCAAAAATCGGGGTTAAATAGCAACACTGAAAACCAGAAACTTGGGATGGTATCTCAAAAATACCTGAGACCTTAGAATATATAAGTTGGCCTGAACTACCTGCAACCTACTTAATGAGGGAGCCAACCTATGTATCAAGCATTATGACAAATGGGAAATTTTGGTCAAACACATGGTTCAGTCATGGCCAAGAAGGGCTGTGAGAAATCTTGCCCCAGAGCACACTGACTGTGAAAATTTCCAGGTATTTGTGCTAAATTTTAATCTAATCAAATCACATAGCAGCACGGAGTTCCTTGTCCAGGGATTCTCTAGAGATAAAGACAAGCTTGAACCCTGCCTTGGATACTGGTGGATGAACCATGAGCTTAGATGTACAGAGGCCTCTTAAGGCTTCTCCAACTCCTCTTAGTACCCTCAAGTCTAGCAGAAGGCAGAGAGCAAATCTAGATGTTTGACCTAATACAATACTTTCTCCACTCCTCTGGAGAAGTGATTCTCAATTCTGGCAGCACATTAAGACGTTTGGGGAGCTTTGAAATAATATTAATAGAACCTGAAAACAAAATGTTGGTAGAAGAGGAATCATTTCTTAATCTCCCTGAATCGCCTCATCCCATGTCCCAAAGAAAGAAAACCAGAAGCAGCAGCTAGAATATATTAGAATACACACACACACAGACACACACACACACACAACACCCATGCAGCACACCTTTAACAAAGTGACAAGATACCCAAATAATCCAAAATATGAATAGGTAAGATAAAATCACTGACAGCAGCAATATCCACATTTTATAAGCAACTGTGCAGGAGGAATAAAAGAAACAGTAAAGGGGATTTAGCTGGCCCTGAGAATCTGGAAAACAATAAATTGCTAATAAGCAGTTACCCCTAAAAGAAGAGGTCAAACTCAGAGTATAAGCTTTGCAGCCCAATCTTATACAATAGCCAGAATTAGAAGGGAACCTAACAGGGTTGAATTATAGGGGACTGTAGGAAGGCAGGATGGAGTGGAAAACATCATTCTCTGGGAAGATCAGCCAGTCACCTGGTGGCTGATGGATTACACAGAACTACTTCTATCATACAAGAGGCAGCACTTTATTCTCACTGGAATAGAAGTTGGGAGTACAGATTTGCCTTCCCTACCTGCAAAGCCTCTGCAAAAATCATCATCCCTGACTGCCTTATTCACCTTTGTGCACAAAATTGGTAAGAAGCACAAAATTACTTCTTACCAAGAAACTTGTTTCACAGTGAAGGAAGTGAGGCTATTGACTCATGCTTACAGAGTTCACTAGTCATCTGATACTACTGTCTGTTGTTCTCTGTCATGTTGACCTGATAGATTTGTAGAATAGACCTTTGAAAATTACAATGTCACCTGAAGGAAGCCTGTGAGGCTGAAGTAATATCTTCTTGGATACAGTATATCCTCTAAATCAACAGTCAATAACTAGCGCTATTTCTTCCACCACCAGGCTTTGTGAGTTCAAGAACGAAGGGGTGGCGCCCAAAAGATTGGTTCCTCCGAATACCACCTCTACATCTTTCCAATATCCATGACTTTGTGTTAAGCAGGTGTACAAGCCTTGGTTCACAAGGAAGACATGCTTCAAACAGTGGACCCAGCAATGTTAGTTGAGACTACCACCTGAATACTTAAGGCTCCATATGTCCATGTATCCACAGACAAAGAAGGGATTAGTGTACTCGCAGGAGTGATTTGTACTGTCAAGGGGAAAGTGGGCTGCCACTACTCAATGAGGGCAAGTAGGAGTATATGGAATGTGGGAGATCCCCGAGAGTACCTTTGAGTACTATCATGTCCTGTGATTAAAGTAAGTGTCAGAGTAAAACCAATACAGGCAGAACTGCTAATGGCCCAGACCCTTCAGGAATCACGTTTAGGTCAAACTACCGGACAGGGAACCATGACCAGCTAATGTGTTTGCTGAGGGGAAAGGGAATACAGAATGGATCATGGAAGAGAATAGTTATAAATACCAGTGACAGCCACATGACCAGCTGCACAAAAAGGACTACAGTGATTATGAGTATTTTATACTTATTTTTATATGAATACATTTGTGTACATACTAGCCAAATTTCTTTTCTTTTTTTCCCATTCTCCTGCCACCTAATGCCAAACATGTTAATAATCATTACCCTTATATTTAATAATTTAAATTCAGGATATTAACTGGGGGAATGTGAGTTGACTAGATTTCTCTTAATCATCTTTTTGGGAGACAGTTATCATGCTTTTAGTTGTCTAAGGGATAGCTGCATCACGTTAGACAAAGACAAAATTTTGCCGTTGTCTTTATTTGGAAACAAAGTTTGGATAAAAAGGGTATGTTTGGATGCCAAGTTGACAGTATCCATTCTCCTCTTCCTTACCAATAGGATACCTGGTTTTTAGCTGGGCACAAAGCTGTTCAGAGTATGGATTATTTTTCTCAGCTTCCCTGGTAGCTGAGTATGGTCATATGACTATGTTCTACCCATATTGAAAGTATCGTACGTCATTCAAAAAGTATTGTATTAGTCAGTTCAAGCTGCTATAACAAAATACCATTGACTGGGTGGCTTAAACAACAGAAATTTATTACTCAGAGTTCTGGAGCCTGGGAAGTAAAATATCTAAGTGCCAGTGAGGTAGTCTCATTCTGAGGGCTCTTCTCTTGGCCTATAGACAGCTGTCATCTCACTCTCACTTGTGTTCACATCACCTCTTCTTTGTGCACTTGAGGCTGGGGACACAGGGGAGAGAGAGAGAGAGAGAAAGAAAGGGAGGGAGAGAAAGAAAGGGAGAGAGAGACAGAGAGAGAGAGAGAGAGTGCATGTGTACAAGCCCTCTTGTGTCTCTCATAAGGGTACTGACCACATGATGAGGGCCTCACCTTCATGACCTCATATAGCCTTATTACTTTCCAAATGCCTCATCTCCAAATACCACACTGAGGATAAAGGCTTCAACATAGGAATTCCGGGGGAAAACAATTTGGTACGTAGCAAATATCCTTAAAAAAAAGAGCCATTCCCATCTTTAGCTTTGATATGGTTTGGTAGTTTTCCCACCCACATCTCATGTTGAATTCTAGTTCCCATAATCCCTACATGTCGTGGGAGGGACCCGGTGAGAGGTAATTGAATCATGGGGGCGGTTACCTCCATGCTGTTCTTGTGGTAGTTACATCTCCCAAGAACTCAGGAGATCAGATAGTTTTATAAGGGGTTTTGCTCTGCCTTTGCTCTGCACTTCTCCTTGCTGCCATCATGTGAAGAAGGGCATGTTTGTTTCCCCTTCCACCATGACTGTAAGTTTCCTGAGGCCTCCCAGCCATGCTGAACTGTGAGTCAATAAAACCTCTTTCCTTTGTAAATTACCCAGTCTCAGGTATTTCTTCATAGCAGCATGAGAACTGACTAATACAAGGCCCCCATTCCTTATACCTGTAAGCAGACATGACAGCTGAAATTCACACTGCTATCTTGGACTATGTGGCAGAAGCCACATACTGAGGGTGCAGAGCCACAAGATAGAAGGACTCTGGATCCCTGAGAACTTAATAAAGCTACCCTACAGGCACAGACCACCTATTTCCATCATTTTGGATAAAAAAGAAATAAACTTTCAACTTATGTAAGCCACAGTTTTCTTAGATGTTGCCATTCACAGATGAACCTAACCCTATTTCTTATAATGAATAACACATTATTGGTTCTTTGGATTAACTTAATTAATTCACTGTTGCAGCAGATATTATCATCAACCAGGAGTCAAGTACTTTGCCAGCTGCTGGGGTACAGTAGTGAACAACATAGGTGTTAATAAAGTTCAAGGTCCAGGATTCAAAACAGACAAAATACAATAATTACAAGCAAGAGGGTTAAAGACAAAGTATTGGGTATTTAATTAGATCGCTTAATTCTATATCTAACTGAGAGTGGTGTCCTAAAGAAAAAGAAATATTGCTAGAGAGTGATGAACGGTTCTTCTCTAGAGGACAGACCCTCGGAAGGCCATGTCCAGGAGTCCTGAGCACCCTGGGACCAGAGATTTAAGGGTGAGACACTGCGAACATGAAAAGGTGGGAGGAAATTAAAATCACTAGAGTCTCTCTCCGTGAGAGAATTGAAAGGAATTATTTGATAAACTTCTTAGGATGGGAACCAGGGTTGAAATCCCCAAGGGAAACACTTAGAAACACAAACTGCTATCTAAGGATGATGGCTCTAATTAATGGCAAGATTGTTATTTTGCTGAACAGGTGTTCATATTTGAGGCAAGAATGGAACTGTGCTGGACAGTAGAGGAGGTTCATGGGGCCCCTGATGGCTCTTCTCTACTTCGCCATGAAGCACAGTCAGACTCTGTTAAATAAATACTGACTACACACACACACACACACACACACACATACACACACCAAACACAAACACACACACACGGTTTAAAGTACCCTAACTTATTGGTCTGGCCTGGTTGTGAACATGCTTTGTTTTGATTTGTCTGGAGTAGAGGAACAACAAAAGAGAAAAAGCATGAAAAAGAGAACGAAAGGGCTCCTAACGTCAAGGACTTAGAGTACCCACATTATTGCATAATACAGTTACCTTTTGTTGAATTTTTAAAGAGCAATAAAAAATCTCCCCGATCAGTAAATGTATGAATGACTAACTAGTGGGAAGATCCTCATTGCAGAGACACAAATGGTAATGAAGGAAAATGTGTTGTAAATTTCAGAAATTTATTCCATTAATAGAAAAGAAAATTTAAAAAGCTTTTAACAAAGTATAAATTGCAATTAGTTTGTGTATACAGAAGGGTACACAAAACATATGCCTAGCAACTGATGCTGTTTTGCAATTACTTGACATAAGAAATTAAGTTCTCTTAGCTACCTGACCTTGCACAAGTGACTTAACCTCCGCAGGCCTCCTGCTCACCAGTTAAATAAAGGGTTTGAATTGCATGATTTCTGGGTCAACACTGACTGAAAAATCCATGGAGCTATGTTTGTTTCATTAGGTGAAGGTCAATTTTAAATTCACTGCCATATTCCTTTTTTCTCTTTGATGTTGTCCAGGCTCTTTCCTAGGTGGATCCAGGCTCTTTCCTATGTGGATCATATCAGCAATAACAGGAACTTTTTGTCCTCCAGATAAACAATCTTTCTTCTTTCATACATTCAAGAATCTCCTGCAATCCTGTCCCAGGCCTCCAATCTGGAGTTGCTTCTGCCCTGGAGCCTCTGTCATAGACTCCCATACTCAGAAACCTGGGGTCATGCTTAACTTCCTCCCTTTCCTGGTCACCCAGCCAATAAGAAAACTTTGTAGACATTTTCAAAACAGCTTTCTGTATCAGTGGTCACCACTAAGTACAAAACATAATTATTCTCAAAGAAAAATTATAAACAATTTTGGGGAAAATTTTAGTTGCATTGCAAGGGGGCCAGACCTTCAAAAGAAGTGGCTTCCTGAATAAAGCAAGCAAGCAATATCTACAGCTCAATTTGTATGTTAGTCTATAATTCTGTTTACATAACGATTGTGTGAATTTTAATAAAATTTACATTGGGTCCAGACCAGCCTGGCCAATATGGTGAAACCCCTTCTCTACTAGAAATATACACACACACACACATAAAAAAAATTAGCTCGGCGTGGTGGTGTGCACCTATAGTCCCAGCTACTCAGGAGGCTGAGGCAGGAGAATCCCTTGAACCTGGGAGGCGAAGGTTGCAGTGAGCCGAGATCACAAAACTGCACTCCAGCCTGGGCAACAGAGTGAGACTCTGTTCAAACAAAAAAATAAATAAATAAAATAAAATTTACATCAGGTGCAAAACTTCAAAGCACTGACACATGAGGCTCTTTTTTTGTTCTTCAAATTTTAGTTTAAGTTCATGGGTACATGTGCAGGACGTGCAGGTTTGTACACAGGTAAATGTGTGCCATCGTGGTTTGCTGCACAGATCATGCCATCACCTACGTATTAAGTCCAGCATCCATTAGCTGTTCTTCCTGAAGCTCTCCCTTCCCCATCCCCATCCTCCGCCAGGCCACAGTGTGTGTTTTTCCCCCCAAGATACATGGTACTCTTTATTACGAAAATGGTGGATACGGTTAGTCTAAGGGCAAGATGTCAGTGCTGCCTTCACAACCATCTTCCACTTGAGCAATTATAACAGTCTCCTGCCTTGGTTTCCCACGCTGGTCCCATCTCATTTGTTCTCCATTCCTCAGGCAGAATAAATTGTAGGAAATTGTGTATGATTAAGGAAAAGGAAAGCTTATACACTGTTGGTGAGAATGCAGATTAGAGCAGCCTCTATGCAAAACAGTAATGAGATTTCTCAAAGAACTAAAAATAGAACTACTATCAGTCCGGTAATTCTACTTCTGAGTTTCTACCCAAAAGGAAAGAAATCATTATACCGAAAAGATATCTGCGCTAGTGTGTTTACTGTGGCACTATTCACAATAGCAAATATATGGAATCAACCTAAGTGTCCATCAATAGATGAGTGGATAAAAAAATGTGAGATACATATATATATATATACACAGACACACACACACACATGGAATACTACTCAGCCATAAAAAAGAATAAAATCATGTCTTTTTTGGCAATGGACATAATGGAACTTGTAGCAACATGGATGGAACTAGAGGCCATTATCTTAAGTGAACTACTTCAGACACAGACAGTCAAATGCCACATATTCTCACTTATAAGTGGAAGCTAAGTAATGTGCACACTTGAACATAGAGTGGAATGACAGACTTGGAGATTCAGAAGGGTAAAACGATGGGGGGGTAGAAATGAGAAATTACTTAATGGGTAAAATGTACACTATTTGGGTGATGGCTACACTAAAGGACTAGACTTTACCGCTACGTAATATAGCCATGTAACAAAACTGCACGTGTACCCCATAAACCTATAATTAAAAAATAAAAATAAATAAAATTGTGCATCAGATCATACCATGGCCTTAGACTTGTTCTACTTGGAACACTCTGTCTTCATACAATTTCCTGCTTTCTGTTTATTCTTCAGGTTGCAGCTTAGTCATTCCTTCCCAGGGAAGCTTTCCCTGCCTATTACTGCCTTACCTTCTCCTCCCCACCCCACATACACTTGATTAGATACCCTCACCTAAGCCTCCATGTCATCTTCTTAATAAGCCCTTTTGAAGTTCATCTTTGTTTACTTGATTTTGACTTGTTTACTTTTCTATCTTTCCCAGAATCCCAAGGAGGCAAGGACTGGGCCTATCTTATTCATCACTATATTCCCACTGACGATCATAGTGTCAGCCCATAGTGAGCACACAATAAACATTTTTGAGCGCCTGTATCTTAGACTCCCTTCTGGCAGGGGCCTCACCATTCTCTCCAGCAGAGATTCCCATGCCGAAAGGGGTGAACGGAGGATGATGCTCAAGAGCTGTCCCCACATTGGGAACAGCTGTCTTCCAACAGCTCCCCATTCATTCCACTCCAAGGGTGTCCAAGCGTCCTGTCTGTTATCCCACAAGGCAGAGGCAACGGGAATTCTTGGCTTCCTGGTGCAAGAGTAGCAATATTAAAATACTGACTGTTCTCGCCTTAACAAAGGCTTCCCTTCCTTTGCCACCCACACAGTAATTTTAATCATTTCCCCAGCTGCATTCTCTCTGTGACAGAATGTCTCCATCCTCTAGTGCTGGGTTCACCGCCCTCCCACAAAACAATCAGGGACGGCTAAGCATGGTCACAAGAGCTTGGATTTCAGTGAAGTGTGCTCTCTTTTCACATGAGTGATCTTGCTGTTTCCTTTTTCCATTATTAATAGAGTCATTTCTACTCAACAATATTTCAGAGATTTTATTTACCTAGTGTCTGAAGACAGACATCAGGCAGGGGACCTTCCCGTAGGACAATTATACATCCCTTGCCAAGAGCAGCTTGTGAATTCATGGCTCAACTACAGACCCTGGAGCTGGGTTGCATGAGCAGAATTAAGGGACAACAGGCTACAAAGTTCAAATTGTGTATTGCTAGAAATATGCAAACCATTCCTATGATCCGGGTGTCAACCACCAGATACAGGTTGGCTAAAAATCTATGTAGAAATTTGCCAGTGCATGCCCTATAAATACGGAGGAATCAGTCACCCACACAGCACTGAAAGAATCCAGTTGAAAAATACCCACCTTCATGTTGTATTTATTCCTTGATACTCCTTTAAGCAGAATTTTGCCCCTTTGTGAGATATACTTGGCACTTACTTTTGCCAGTGGAATACGGAATTTTTAATGCTCCTCCCTCACCATCCCCTAGTGTTAATTTCAGGCAAGATCTCGAATGCCCAATAGGGCCTGGTTCACCTGCTGGCTTCCAGCAGGCCCTCAGGGTCACTATGGACATAGTAGAGCTCCCACTCCTGTCTTCTTCTTTACAATTTGTGTCTTTATAGGGCTTTATTAGGGACTGGCTTGCATGAAATTACTTGTGTATGTAACCGGACAAAGGACAGCTATCCCTTCTTGCTTATCTATGTGTCCACAACCACAAAGCATGGCACATAGTAAGTGCTTCAAAAATGTCAATACGTTGAATTTGACGGAAATCTTTTGGTATTCAAAATTTCTTCTGTACATGGTTTTGTGTTTCTTCATTTTTTATGATTGACCTGTTACCCTGCCTTTCCCTGACAACACAGAGTCTACAGGGGGCACATTGTTATTGTTGAAAATGAGATTATCAGCATTTTAATAAAAATTATTAAAGTCATATTAACATCTAATTAAGGTTTGTGTGTGTGTGTGTGTGTGTGTGTGTGTCTGTGTGTGTGTGTTTTCTTTTTTGATAGGGACTTGCTCACTCTGTTACCCAGGCTAGAGTGCAGTGGCATGGTCATAACTCTCTGTAACCTGGGCTCAAGTGATCCTCCCACCTCAGCCTTTCAAATAGCTATGACCACAGGCACACATCATCATACCTGGTTATAATTAAGTGTTTCTTACTGGTAGAATGGGGGGGATGGAAAAGAAACATCTTCACGCAGAATGGTGCACCATAATTACTATCATTTACCATTTGGGGGCTCTCTGGAGCTTTATTTCCCAATAATGGGAAGGGCATCCTGAAAATTTTAGGGAGAATATGGTACTCTGAGACCTGGGAATGGTTACACTAGCTATCTGAAAGACCAAGAGGCATTCATTCAATGAAGTAAATAAAGCATTGCCTGCCACACAGGATAAATAATTCATTTGTCCTCCCTGCCAGCCTAGAGGATATGAAAAATCTGGAATAAAAGACATTATGCAGGATAAGGCGTGGATATTTCAAAAAGATCAACTCAAAACAAAAACAATGAAAGGTAATGGAATGTTGTAGATTAAAAGAGATTAAGAAGCTATGATTAAATGAAAGCATAAAGCAAAACCTAAATGGCTCTAAAGATATTTTAGTAACAATTAGGAAAATTTGAATAAGGACTACATTTTAGTTTCTATTATAGAATTACTGTTAATTTTGTGCAATGCAAATTGTAATTATTAGGTGAAATTGTGCCTCTATTCTTAATACCCAAAGTATTTAGAAGTGAGGTGTCCTGATGTTGGCAATTTATTCTTAAATAATATTTGAGGCCCGGCATGGTGGCTCATGCCTGTAATCCAAGCCCTTTGGGAGGCCAAGGCGGGCAGATCATCTGAGGTCAGGAGTTTGAGACCTACCTGGCCAACATGGTGAAACCCCATTCCTACTATACAAAAATTAGCCGGGCGTGGTGGTGGGCACCTGTAATCTCCTAGCTACTCAGGAGGCTGAGGCATGAGAATCGCTTGAACCAGGGAGTCGCAGCTTGCAGTGAGCCAAGACTGTGCCACTGCACTCCACCCTGGGGGACAGAGTGCGACTTTGTCTCAAAACAAAAATATTTGGGAAAAATGAAGAGACAGAGATGAAGTAAATGTGACAAAATGTTAGTAATTGGTGAATGTGAAGTGTATACAGGTATTCTTTTTACAGTTATTTAAATTTATAAATTATACAAAGAATAAGTTTACTTATTAAATTTTTATTTTTTTTAATTAGCAAATTGTTTTTGGTGAAGGAGTGCAGGCAGAATTGCAGTGGAATGAGAAATACAAGTTGAGTTGTAGCAGGACAAGCCACAGACAAAACCCTTCAGACACTGAGTTAAAGAAGGAAGCAGTTTATTCGGCCAGGAGCATGGGCAAGACTCCTGTCTCAAGAGCTGAGCTCCCCCAGTGAGCAATTGCTGTCCCTTTTAAGGGCTCACAACTCTAAGGGGGTCTGCTTGAGAGGGTTGTGATCGATTGAGCAAGCAGGGGGTACATGACTGGGGGCTGCATGCCCCGGTAATTAGATCAGAAGAAAACAGGACAGGGATTTTCACAGGGCTTTCCCCTATACAATGTCTGTAATCTATGGATAATATAACCGATTAGGTCAGGGGTTGATATTTAACTACCAGGCCCAGGGTGTGGCGCCGGGCTGTCTGCTTGTGGATTTCATTTTTGCCTTTTAGTTTTTACTTCTTCTTTCTTTGGAGGCGGAAATTACGCATAAGACAACATGAGGAGTGGTCTCCTCCCTTAGAGTAATAGGATAGTGGGAAGATCTTTGGCTGCAAATTGTAAGGAGAGAGTGAATAAGGGCAAGAGACACAGAAGATACTGCAGCCATTTCAATATTGACGAGAATAAAGAAAGAGCAATTGAATATACAGGAGAGGAGGTAATTGATGGAGTTTTTAAATATTTATTAAATTTATCACTTTGCCTGCAGAAGAGAATAAAAATACAGAAGTAAAAATACAAATATATTCTATAAAAAACATCAATCTGCCTGAGGAAGAATACATTGTTTTTTAATATGCAACCTTCTCTTAGGGTATTTTACTAAAGAAGAATAGCTGCTGAGAGATAATATAGTCTCAAAGTCCACTTGAACTAGGGACAACTGACATTTACCATATTACCCAGGGTGGTGATTGAAAACATACCTCCAGTCACAAATATTTATTTAGTAAAATTGAAATCAGAGCATTGGCTTAAGTGTGAAATACAGCAGAAAATAATGATAGGTAGAAAATAAAATTTGCTCTGTACAATTTACAGGAGTGTAGTTGGGAATATTTAAATATTTAGAGTTAGCAGCTTATTTCAAATGAATACATGAAGTTATATATTTAAATACATTTTCATTTAAAAGGATTAAATAGGTGTTATAAAGCCTTTTTGGGTCTGGCTTCTGATGATATTACTAGCAGTTATTTTTTCTTCAAGGACAAATTCAGTTGCTTAATCAGGATTTTTAGGTTGGAAACAGAAAACTATATTTTGCAAAGGTATAATGCAGTGACAATAAGTAAAGTAATAAAGCAGGAACCCTTAATACAGAGCTCCTATGTCCTAGACGTTGTGGTACCAGTCCCACACATTATTTATTTATTTACTTTAATTGACAAATAAAATTGACGAATAAAACTGTACGTTTTTATCACTTACAACATGATTTGAAATGCATACACATTTGTGAAAAGCAGTATTAACATATTATTACTTCACAAAGTCACTTTTCTGGTGAGAACATTTAAAATCTACTCTTTTAGCATTTTTCGATAACACAATATATCGTTGCTAACTGTATCAGTCCGTTTTCACATTGATATAAAGAACTGCCTGAGACTGGGTAATTTGTAAAGAAAAGAGGCTTAATTGACTCACAGTTCTGCATGGCTAGGGAGGCCTCAGGAAACTTACAAATGGCGGAAGGGTAAGGAGAAGCAAGTACCTTCTCAATAAGGTGGCGGGAGAGGAAGCACACAGAGGAAACTGCCACTTTTAAACCATCAGATCTCATGCAAACTCACTCGCCATCATGAGAACAGCATGGGGAAACTGCCCCCATAATCCAATCACCTGCCACCAGTTCCCTCCCTTGACACCTGGGGATTACAATTTCACCAGATTTGGGTGGGGACACAGAGCCAAACCATATCACCAACTATAGTCACCAAGATGTACAATGGATCTCTTGAATTTATTCCTCCTATCTATATGAAATTTTGGATCCTTTGACCAGCATCTTCTCAACTCCCAACCACCATTGCCCAATTCTCTGGCAACCACCATTCTACTCCCTACTTCCACCAGATCAAAATTTTTAGATTCTACAAGTGAGTGAGATGAAGCAGTATTTGTCTTTCTGTATATGGATGATTTCACATAATATAATGTCCTCCAGGTTCATCCATGTTGTTGCAAGTCACAAAATTACTTTCCTTTTTATTGCAGAATAGTGTACCATTGCATATATATACCACATTTTCTTTATCCATTCATCTGTTAATGGATACTTGTCATTTCTTATCGTGGCTATTGTGAATAATGCTGCAATAAATACGAGTGCAGTGCAAATGTATCTTCAACATACAGATTTCATTTCCTTTGAATATATATGCAGTAGTAGGAACGCTAGATCATATGTTAATTCTAGTTTTAATTTTTTTGAAGAACTTTCATGCTTTTTTCCACGAAGGGTATAATAATTTAAACTCCCACCAACAGTGTGCAAGGGTTACCTTTTCTCCACATCCTCACCAATACTTGTTATTTTTTGTCCTAGTTTTTTTCTTTTTTCTTTTTCTTTTTTTCTTTTTTTTGATATGGTGTCACTCTGTTGCCCAGGCTGGAGTGCAGTGGCATGATCATAGCTTACTGAAGCCTCAAATGCCTGGGCACAAGCAATCCTCCTGCCTCAGCTTCCTTTGTCTTTTTGATAACAGCCATTCTAACAGGTGCAATTTGCTATCTCATTGTGTTTTTGATTGTATTTCTCTAATGATTAGTGATGTTGAACATATTTTCATATACCTGTTGGCCTTTTGTATGTTTTAAGAAATATTTATTCAGGTCCTGTGCCCATCTTTAACTGGGTTGTTTTCTTTCTATTGAGTTGTTTAAGTTCCTTGTGTATTTTGAATATTAACCCCTTATCAGATGTGGATTTTGCAAAGATATTCTCCCAAGCCCCAAGAAGGAGAGTGTTGTAATTACTGGGAAAACATTAAGGAGGCTCTTGTTCACTATCTTGTTCTTTGTCTACTGATTATGATTTGAGAGAAGAGTTCCTTAGGCTGACTGTCAGCAAGAGCTATGTATCACCGATTTCATGGCAGTATATATTTTATGGACTCTAGGAATTCATGCCCTGGATTTTAACATTTGCTGCCAGCAGACTCAGAGCTGAATGTGTGCTACACTTCTCCCAAACATACTGGAGTGCATTATGCATTGTATACTAACGTGACACCTGACTTTCTCTTACCTTCCCTAGTCTCATTTTTCCTATCATCCTCCTTTCTCTTCCACTTGTTTTTTATTTTATTTTGTGTGTATTTATATAAGCCAAATTAAAACATTTCTGGAAGAAAATCACTTTATAAGTAAGTAAATAACTACAATATGATATGATCCCAGTTTTGTAATGGCATCGACAAAAAGGATAATTCATATATATATATATATATATATTCATCAAATGTTGACAGTGTCTGTCCTGAATGGTGAGATCATAGGTAATTTTTATATTCTTCTTACATTTTTCTACATTTTCCATAATGAGAAAGATATTACTTTTATAATTTTAACAGTGAGCTTACAACTAGTTTAGTAAGAAATTTAGACAGTTCTTTATGATGATATCTAAATAGGATTAACAAAGGCATTCTGTGTTCTGAGAAGACAAATCTTTAAAAAACTGAAACTACAATAATCGCATCTTAGGAAAACTGGAAGCAACCACACATTAGAAGAAAAATTACAGTACGTGGAACCCTTCATGGGTATGTAATAATTTAAAAAGTGATTTATTTTTATTGGTGTAAATTTAAGGGGTACAGATGCAGTTTCGTTATATGGATATATTGCTACATAGTGCTGAAGTCTGGGCTTTTAGTGTTACCATCATCTGAATAATGTACATTGGATATATTAGGTAATTTCTCATTCCTTATCCCCTTTCCGTCTCTCCTTCTGAATCTCTAATGTCTATTATTCCACACTCTATGTCTACATATACCTATTATTGATTATAGCTTTCTTTTATTTATTATGGAAACTAAATAAAAGTGATTTAAAAAAATATTTGGCTGGGCACGGTGGCTCATGCCTGTAATTCCAGCACTTTGGGAGGCCAAGGCAGGTGGATCACCTGAAGTCAGGAGTTCGAAACCCGCCTGGCCAACAAGACAAAACCCCATTTCTACTAAAAATACAAAAATTAGCCTGGAGCAGTGCTGGGCGCCTGTAATCCCAGCTACTCGGGAGGCTGAGGCAGGAGAATAGCTTGAACTCAGGAGGCAGAGGTTGCCATTGAACTCCAGCATGGGCAACAGAGCGAGACTCCGTCTCAAAAAAAAAAAAAAAACTTTGTGAAATACTATACTTTGGGTCCTGATTCAGGAGGACTTCCACTGCCAAATGCTGTAATCTATCCCAGGTTGTTATGGCATTAATTGTGGTAATCATAACAAATTCTATAAATTTTGTACGCACAATGTGATATACAGATATACTGTGTTGCCTATGTGCTACAAAGAACATTTTTATTTCATTCTTTTTTCTTTCCTTGTTTCCTTACTGTCTGGACAGTTTCTCATACAGACACTTTGAAAATAGAGATACAAGACCAATGTCTTAGCTTAGATCAGTGCACAGAGCTGTCACTCTAATCTGCAACTAGACTCCTCCCAAGGGAGATGGAGAAAAGCTCAGTAAGAGCTAAAATGTCAAGCTATTATAAATCTCCCTCTTTGAAATTAAATATTGTTCATTTGTTCATTCTAAATAGCTGGGGTTTGTCCCTGTAAAACTTTAGCAATGAAATGCATGTTTGTGTGTATATGCACATGTGTATATATGTAGGCATGTATTTTAAACTTACATAAATGGATTTCATTCTATTTCATACTCTTTCACTTAACACAATAGTTTTAAACTCTAATCCATATGGCTTTGTGTACATCTAATCTGTTACTACTAACTCTATGGTATGCAAGCACCAATTTTCTCTACCTACTCTCCCTGATTGCCTCCAACTCTGCCACCACAAACATTGCTATAAATGAACAGCTTCATGATCCCATATGGACCTGGTGGGAATTTATTTGTAATGTATCTTGGAAGCATAATTGCTGTAATCTGTAATATATTATACATAATCACTCCAAGATACATTACAAATAAATTCTCACCCAGGTCCGTGAGAGTGTGTGTGTGTGTGTGTGTGTGTGTGTGTGTGTTTATTTGCCGCCGTATTTCTAGCTCACTCTGCAGAATGGATGCCAAATCTACTTCCCACTTTCCCACATGTAGTGGATAAATGGGTGAGGGTGCCTATGCCCTTATCCAACTTTTTAATATCTTGTCAGTCTTATGGGAGAAAAATAATACCTAATTGCTGTTTGAATCAACAATTCTATAATTACTAATGAATTAGAGTTCTCTTCATATACTTGCAACCATTTCTGTAATTTGTCTACTTATATTCTTGCCTTTTTCTCCTAGGACTTCTGTCTTATTCTTGTTGATGGCAAGGAGTATCTTGCATATCACACAAACCAGTTTTTCATTAATTTCAGACACTGTAGATAACATCTCCGCCATCTTCTCTCTGTCACCTTTGTCAACGAGTCCTTAATTAAACAGATATCTATATCTGATGTAGAGGATAAATAATGAGAAAGAAAGTGCAATTATAGAAGCTGAGAAGTCACATGATCTTCCATCTGTAAACTGGAGACTCGGGAAAGACTGTGGTGAATTCAATCAAGCCCAAAGGCATGAGAACTAGGGGAGGTGATGATATAAATCTCAGTCTAAGGGCAGGAGAAGATGAGATGAGATGTCCTAGCTCAAGTGGGAAGGCAGAAAACAAGGCGGGGAGGGGGAAATTCCTCCTTCCTCCACCTTTTGTTCTATTCAGGCCCTCAATGGATTGAATAGATTAAACATTATTTCCCATATGAGAACACCCTCACAGACACACTTAGAATTAATGTTTAATCTGGGCACCCAATGACCCAGTCAAGTTGACACATAAAATTAACCATCACGGCCTCTAAAGAAGATACTTTAATTTTTATTTTTATTATTATTTTTTTTGAGACAGGGTCTTGCTCTGTCACCCAGGTTGGAGTGCAGTGGTACATTCTCGGCTCACTGCAGCCTCCACCTCCTGGGCTCAAGCGATCCTCCCAACTCAGACTCCCAAGAAGCTGGGATGACAGGCATGTAGCCACCATGCCCAGATAATTTTTATATTTTTTGTAGAGATGGGGTTTTGTCACCTTGCTCAGGCTGGTCTCGAACTCCTGGGCTCAAGTGATCTGCCCACCTCAGCCTCCCAAAATGCTAGGATTACAAGCATGAGCCATCGTGCCTGGCCTAAATAAGATGCTTTAAAGTATTACCCTTCTAAGCCCAAGAAGTGCACTGGGTTTTGTCTTCGCACAGAGGCCATATGGGAAAGCACAGTTTGGCAATCTTGAAAAATACCGTGGAATGTTATTATATCTCTTCTAATGGGGGACATCCAGGAATTTTAAATAATACAGACCTTACAGAAACTTTCTACAAATCTATCTAGACATTGTTGCCTGTCTTGAATGTTTCACAACTCAGGGTTTCTAAAGAAGAAATTTCACTGCTCTGTCATCTACTGAGGTCCTTTCCCAGCACTCTGCTCTCCTCATTCGACATCTTCTTCCCTCTCCACCTCCTACACCCTGTGCTGCAAGCACATCATCTGCCTCCCAGGCAGAAGCGAGCACTCATTTCCACTCCTTTTCTCACCCTGAAATTACCTATGATATGACACTTTAGAAACCCGACCCCTCTGTCAGTGGGAGCACATTTCTCACATCTACTAAAAACTTTAAGAACCCTACATTTGGCATGTAACACGATATTTCTTAGTCTTTTGTAAAAGATGTTTAGAGAAATATGCATGCTGGTATTTCATAAGCCAATACGGATACCTTTTACATTAATAGCCAGTGTCTGTTTCTTCTTGGCAAATGGCATGGGAGCTGCTGTGCAGACACTCATTAGCAAAACTGTAGAGGCTCTCAACCCTCCATATCTGGCAGAATAAGCTTATGAGTCACTTAATCTAAAGCATTTAACTATCAGTGCTCTGAAATTTAGAGGGAAAAAGATATGGAAAAAGACAATAATTTCTGGAGGTTCTCTCTGTGTGTGTGTGTACATTTATGATGCATCAGTGTTCTATGTCCTCCTCCTGACTGAAATAAAATAATAAAAGTTGATTACTTATAATGAAAGTCACTTTACAATAACCCCAAATGTCTCCTATTATACCTCATAATTTTCCCCATATAAATGTTAGTTTCTTTCCCCTTAAAACATCTTTTAAATTTACAGTGAAAGACATTAATTTTGAGAGCCTACTTTATGACAGACAGTGTGCTAGGTGCTTTAGCTTTGTATATTTTAGGACACAGGATGAGCCCATAAACTGAAGCAAAAATTCAAAAAGGGATCCTATATGGGTGATGTAATACTTAGGACTAACTTCTATGATATTTAGTTCTATCCAAACTCAAACTGGCCAAAAAATAGATGCTGTTTGACGTTTTACATAAAACTGAGAAGCACCAAATATTTGGAAAACAGAGCTATTTTAGAATCCACAGATTAATTCTCTTTGTTACTGAAAGCCTCGCTGAACAAACATCCATAAGAATCTCAAATATTGATCAATGAAAAGGAAGAGCTTTGTTTTATAAAACCAATGAATACAAACCACAACACAGAAACACCTATTTTAATGAATTTGAATAAGTACATGAAATAACTTTTTCCCTTTAAAGTGATATATGCTGTCTAGGTGACCCATGGATTTCTTGAAATTTCTACTATTTAATCAGTCATTCTCAGACACTATGGTTTCTGTAATGGATAACTATGTCAAAGTATTTTCTAATTACTATTCAGAGACATGAATGATTTAGTCATTATTGCTGATTAAAGAGCCAAAGGAAATACAAAATTATTGTAAACTTTTTAAAATTATTTTTGAAAAATAGGTTTTGGAAACAACGAAGTCTTCTTCAACTCTATCGTCAAACCTGACAATGACATTTTGCTCATCACCATTTTAGTCTCTCAATTATGTTCCCTCAACACTATGAGCTCTGAGCTACTAATCCAGACCCAAGAATTTAAAAAATGTGTGGAATAAAACAAGAGGTTTATTTTTCGCTTTAGAGGAAAAGTTAATCCTTGATGAAAACCAATTTTTACTCTATTTCCTAAAATCTGAGCATGGACAAAGGGTAACGTCAGCAAGAAACTCACACAGAAAAGAAAAGTAGCCTGACTACGATGATACCTCTTACAGTATGTCAGCACTTTTTCTCCCTGGAGGACACCTGCCTTCCCCTCCTCTTTACTAGGCAACACTTGTAAAGGCCAGGATGTGAGATGTGTGTGAGATAATGTATGTGTAAATAGACTTGCCTTACATCCTATGGATGAAACATCTTTCTCAATTTAAAAAGTAAAAAGGTGGCATTTTTTAATAGCTTAATCCTCCAAAACCAGCAAACTTCTGTCTCCTTGAGGTTTTTTTTTTGTTTTGTTTTGTTTTACAATAGCAGTCCCCATATACAAGGTCTGCCCTTGAGCTGATTTAGAATAATTAATTATAGCAGCTCATTAATTCACAAGTGATCCATAAGTTATCAGTCTAAGCAAAGATAATTTGTATCTAAAAGAGCTGGCAATGTCCACATTAAAGCTAAGATTATTACAACTAAAGAAACTTGCCTCCTGCCTGTATGGTTCAATAAAACAAGATTACTGGCCTACTCTTGGGAAGCTTGGTATATTTGATTATATTATAACATTTATTGAGCACCTTTTTTGCTTTCAGGATTAAAAAATTAACAAGACAGTTTCTGACCTCTAAGAGTTCAGATTAATGAAGAGCAAGATTAACCGCCCCCCGCCACACACTCACACCCAAATCAGCTTTTCCATGCTATCACAGAGGTCACAATAAAACTTAAAAGTCATTGCTTTAAAGTTTCAAGTATGAAGAATCCTAACCTCTACTTAATATTCACTGATTTTCTGATTTTCAACTCTAGATGAACACATTAGTATATTGTCTTTCCTGTTGGTTGACATTTTTAAAAGCAAAGAAATTTTAAGAATCAACAAACGTTTGATAGAAATGCTTACATGTGTGGAAAAATTCCATTACATAGAAAGACTCCAAGTTTACATCTTCCTCAGAACTTCTCTCAATGAATTCTCATCCACTCTCATGGATTTTTCTATTACCTACAAACTGATGGCTCTCACTGTATTATCTTACTCTGGATTTCTCTTCAAAGATTAAGACCCATTTTTCTGACTGCCTGCTAAATCTTCTGACTTCACCCGGCAAGTCTCATAGGATCCAAAAAGCACTCCTGTTCAAACAGAACTCAAAACAGGTCCCTCAGTTTTTTTACCTTAAAACTTGTTATAAAGCTAGGTAACTAAGAAAACTTTCTGCTGGTAAAAAAAAGAAAAACAAACTTCTTTTTAAGTACAAGAGAAATATATCTAAATATATGGAAGAATTTACACCAGAATAAAAATCACATTTCATATCAATGTGGGAAAGACAGATGACTCAATAAATGGTATTGGGTAATTGGCTAGCTTTTGGGGAATGGAATGAGATGTACTCCCAAAAAGTTTCAAAATAACTTTCCAGATAGATAAAAAGGATTACCTGTAAAAATGAAATCATAAAAGAATACAAATGAATGTGCTGAAAATGAGATAAAGAAAATTTTAAAACGTGGTAAAAATTATATAAGAAAAGATTAATATCAACTTGAAAACTTAAAACTTTAACAATTTATGAACAGTATCAGAGCAGACAACCTATAGAATGGGAGAAGATACTTGCAAATTATGTATCCAACAAAGGCCTAATATCCAAAATGTATAGGAAACTTAAACAAGACAACGAGCAAAAACAAACAGACCCATTAAAAAAATGGGCAAAGGACATGAACAGACACTTCTCAAAAGAAGACATACAAGCAGCCAAGAAACCTGAAAAATGGTCAGCATCATGAATCATCAGAGAAATGCAAATCAAAACTACAATGAGATATCAATACCAGTCAAAATGGTAATTATTAATAAGTTAAAAAACAACATATGTTGGTGAGGCTTCAGAGAAAAGGGAATGCTTGTACACTGTTGGTGAAAATGTAAATTAGTTCAGCCACTGTGAAAACCAGTCTGGAGATTTTTCAAAGAACTTAAAACAGGGCTATCATTCAACCCAGCAATCCCATTACTGGTTATATAACCAAAAGAAAATAAATCATTCTACCAAAAAGCCACATGTACTTGTATATTCATCACTGTGCTATTCACAACAGTAAAGACAAGAATTAACCCAGGTGACCATCAATGGCGGACTGGATAAAGAAAATACGGGACCTATCCACCAAGAATACTACACTGTCATTAAAAAAAAATAAAATGCTGTCTTTTGCAGCAAAATGGATGAAGCTGAAGGCCATAATCCTAAGTGAATTAATGCAGAAACAGAAAACCCATGTTCTCATTTAAAAGTGGGAGCAAAACACTGAGCACACATGGATATAAATATGGGAATAATAGATACTGTGGACTACTAGATGGGGAAGGGAAGGGAGCAGGTTAAAAACTACCTATTGGATACTATGTTCACTACCTGGGTGACAGGATCCATACTCCTTAGCATCACACAATATTTCCATGTAACAAACCTTCACATGTACTCCCTATATCTAAAACAAAAGTTGAAATTTTTAAAAAGGAAAAAAAATCACAAAAATAGATTATCAAGAACTATCACTCATGAATACAGAAAGAAATTACAGTTAAAAAACATGAAGAGATTCAAATTATAAATGAAAAGCTGGAAGTATATTTTCAACATATGTGATAGCATTTGATATGATAAAGGAAAAATTTCCCTAATATGTACCTAACTTGTAAATTAATAAAAATGTCAAAGGTACGTAAATAAGTAGTTTAAAGAGAAAAAAAAGTACCAATATCCACTAAACATGAAGATTTTCAATGTCATTCATATTTATAGAAAAACAAATGAAAATAAGAGCAACAATTTTTGCCCATCATATGGCGAACAGTATGAAGTTGTACTCAGTGTTACTAAGGATATGGAAAATAGGCATTCTCGTACACTTTTAGTCAGAGAATAAAATTGGTAAACTCTTTTACAGAGAAATCTGGCAATAGCTATACAAACATGTAGACACTTTCTCAGCACCTTCACTTACAGGAATTCATCACATAGAAGTAAATACATCTGTGAAATAATGTGTAAGTATAAAGACTACAGAACAATATGTAAAGACAAAAAATAGAAACTAAATATTTTTAATAGAAAATTGCTTTTAAATTATAGTTTATGAAACAGAATAATCTGTGGTTGATAATAATAGATAACTCTGTATGTGCCAATGCGGAAAAAAATTTATGGTCATACTTATATACACGTGAAAATGTTTTCAAACTGCAATAATGATTTCCTCCAAGAATAGCATAAAAAATGCAAAATTTTTGCCTGTCAGTCGCACTTCCCATTGCCTGTCTTACATTTATGCATTATATTTATAATCCAAAATAAAACTCATCGATGATATCAGCAAGCTAGCAGAGTAAGAATACCAGTCTTTGTCCTTCAAAAAAAATCACCAAAAAACCACCACAACAACAATTAGACAATTATCCATGAAGAAATGGGCCATGGCAGGGTTTAAGAGTCCAATTAAGAGAAGATGTCAGCAAAATGGTGGAATAGAAGATCCCCTGGCATCACTCACCTAACAAAAGTATAATTAGAAACTATTCAAAGACAAGAGAACCACCCTGAATTTACTAGAATTCAGGGAAAAATGAAACACCCTGGGCCCACAGAATCAAAAGAAATCACAACTGGTAAGAGTAACAGTCATTTTAGAGTATGCCACCCTCTCCCCCAAGCCAGCCCCCTAATGCCACTCACAGAAAATTTTCCTAAGCCCACAGCTGCTGAATGAGAGGAGAGAACTGGAGGAGGATATCCAATCTCCCCACGGATCTGGGAATCTCTGTGGGAAACCCACTTTGGTCCTGCCCTACAAGAACCAGTGGGAGTGCCAACAGGAGTGAACCTCCTGAGGTGGGGTGAGGCCAAAGTGCAGGGCACTGATTGCAGCAACTTGGTAGACATTCTATGTTCGGATCAGTGGTAATGCCATACTAAAGAGATTGGCCAGCACCTTGCACTGCAGGGGGCACAATTCATGGGAAGGCCCCAATCCCTAGTCCTATTTCCCATAAATCCCAGGTGCTTGTCTGAAGACATCCCCTGGCCTGAACAACTAAAAGGACGGCATGAGAGTTCTCGTGCTCACTGTAAGTTTTCACCAGACTGGGAAACAAAGGCAGGGCTGCGATTTAGTTCCAGTGTAGCATTTAAGTTCCAGTGTTCACTGTGAGACCTTCATAAACCAGGAAATAATGGTAGGGCAGAAAGTTAGTTCCAGTGCAGTGTTCTGGTTCTGGTATGCACTATAAATTCTTCTCAGAAGAGGAACAACAACAAGCTAGAAATTAAGATTTGATACTAATTAGTAAAGATCTAACACCACCAAAGAACACCTGCAATAGCTGAAGACGTGGCTGTCTCCTTAAATGCACAGGCATTACTGTAAAGGTGCAAGGATTGTGAAAACTCAGGGAAATATAACTCCAACAAAAGAAACTAACAAAGGGTCTAGAAAAATTAAAAATCTATGATATATCTGAAAATAATTTAGATCAATCCTTTTAAAGATGTTCAGGGAATCACAATAAAATATAAATAGAAAACTAAATACAATTTTGAAAATAACCCAGGAACAAAATTAGAAATTTTAAAATGAAATAGAAGCAATTTTGAAAACCAAATAGAAATCCTAGAAATAAAGAATACAATAACCAAACCTGAAAAACTCATTAGAAAACATCAACAGATTTGCTCAAACAAAGGAAAGAATCAATGAGTTGAAGATAGAACACATGCAATTACTCAATCAGAAGATCAAAGAATAAAAAACAATTTAAAAAGGGTGAAGAAGGCCTATGAGGATTATGGACCACCATCAAGCAAACTAACCTTCACATAATAGGAATTTCCAAAGGAGATGAGAGAGAAAAATGTCTACAAAGGATACTTACAGAAATAATGGCTGAAAACTTCCCACATCTAAAGAAAGACTATACCGTATTCACATACAGGAAGCTGAGTGGTCACAAATAAAATTCAATCCAAAGAGGATTTTCCCAAGGCACATTATAATCAAATTGTTAAAACTTATCTACAAAGAACAAATACTCAAAACATCAAGAGAGAAGAAACATATCACATTCAACAGAGCCTAAGTATGGCTTTCAGTGGATTTATCAGTAGAAACCCTGTAGGACGAGAGAGAGAATGGGATAATACAATCAAAGTGCTGAAGAGAAAAAAACTGTCAATCAAGAACACTCTATCTGGTAAAGCTTCCCATCAAACAGGAAGGAAAGATAAAGACTTTCCCAGTCAATCAAAAGCTGAAAGAATTCATCACCACCAAACCAGTCTTACAAGAAATGCTAAAGTGAGTTCTTCAATAGGAAAGAAAAGGATGCTAATGGGTATACATCTAAAACTCACTGGCAAAAGAAAGAATACAGACAAATTAAGACTACTGTAAACCATTTATATCTCAAGCAGGAAGACTAAAAGATAAAACTGGCTGGGCACAGTTGCTCACGCCTGTAATCCCAACACTGAGAGGCTAAGGCAGGCGGATCACCTGAGGGTGAGTTCAAGACCAGCCTGGTCAACATGGCAAAACCCCATCTCTACTAAAAATGTCAAAAATTAGCCAGGTGTGGTGCCATGCACCTGTAATTCCAGCTACTTGGGAGGCTGAGGCAGGAGAAACACTTGAATCTGGGAGGCAAAGGTTGCAGTGAGCTGAGATTACGCCATGCACTCCAGCCTGGGTGACAGAACGAGACTTCCATCTCAAAAAATAATTTTTTTAAAAAAGGCAAAACTATCAAAAAGAACAAGAACTACAACAATTGGTTAAGGGATAAGCAATATAAAAATGTTAAAGTGTATTTGTTATTTTTTTTTTCTTTGTGGTCAAAGTTAAGTTGTTATATATCCCTTAGAATTACTGTAGGTAGTGTTATTTTTAATAGTTTTGTCTTTTCAACTTTATTCAAGTATTCTATCATTTTCCCCAGCATACAGAAAGCTCCTAAAATGGTAGTTATTATTAATATCAGGTGTTATTTTATATCTATTTTATATTAAGCACACATATATTATAGGTCACTTATGTAATGGACATCAAAGTCACAGATCTATAGCAATGACAGATCAAATTTGGTGCCATTCAATCATTTCTATCACATCCCACTATGTTCAACTCTTGGTGTATCTTCTAAGATTTCCCACCAGCCAAAGGCTCTGTGTATAAGTTTGAAGAAGTATATTCAATCTTGCTCATTATTTAAAAAATACAAACCATGTGTAACTTTTATAGATCCTAATTATATCCTATTGGTGAAAAGTCACTGTTCTAGACCTTGTGATCACATAGCTCAACTCCACTCTGTAACAAATGAGGAGATTGAGGCTCAGGGAGATTAACTGGCTTTTCTAAAGTTGCAGAGCTACTTTTATTATATTTCTTTTATCAGAACTTATATAGTGTGTTTATTTTTTAAAATTATAACTCAAGCAGAATTGAGATTAATAGTAATTCTATTTTATTTTAGACAGAATCTTGCCCTGTTGCCCAGGCTGAAGTGCAGGAGCTTACTGCAGCCTTGACCTCCCGGGCTCAAGTGATCTTCCCACTTCAGCCTCCCAAGTAGCCGGGACTACAGGCACGTACCATCATGCCTAGTTAATTTTTTGTATTTTTTGTGGAGACGGGGTTTCACCATGTTGCCCAGGCTAGTCTTGAACTTCTGGGCTCAAGCAATCTTCCAGCCTCAGCCTCTCAAAGTGCTGGCATTACAGGCATGAGCCACCACATCCAGCCCAACAGTAATTTTAATAATAAGGAATTTTTATTTATAGAAATGAAACCTGAAATCGTAGCCTGATATATTTTTCTATAATGCAAAGAAATAAATAGCAAAATTGTTAAAGAAGCATTCTTACTTTATTGAATACAGGTCTAGATTTTAGAAATCTATTTTGTCTTGGCAATACCTTCAATTAATAATTAGTTCATCAAACATATTCTAGAGGCTATCAGGGCACTTTCATTCTTCTTCCCAAGGACAGAGAAGTGCTCTGAGGATCTTCCTGAGGTGTTTGGGGTCACCTTTACCTTAGATGAAACATTTGAGTCAGCAGCCAAAGAAGTTAAACACAATGAAGATGGCAAGCAGAAACCATGGAAACTCAGCTTGCTTTCTGTCAAATTATGTGAATCATATTTCATTAAAGATGTTTTACAAAATAGCCCACCTGTTTACTCTGGCTTTTTTAATTCCACAAAGCCACATATTCTCTTGATTAGAAAAACATAAAATACTCCCTCACTAAAAGGCCAGAGAGGAGGAAAGACTATCAATGTTTATTCTCTGAAATTTTTCCCTGGATTATACTTTTTCCGGAGAAACAAATCTATTATTTATATGTTATATGCATAAATATATTTTTACACACACACACACACACACACACACACACACACACAGCACAGAGAATGGATTCTGTCTCATATATAAAAGAAAAAGTCCTCAGGGTGATGTCAGCAACAAAATGGTGGAATAGAAGGCTCTCGACTACTCTCCTCCCACAGACACACTGAGTAGACACCTACACACAGATCAGTTCTCTCCAAGAGAAAGCCAAACTCTAGTTAAAAGACTCCTACACACTGGATTACTGAGAAAATATCCACATCAAAACGAGTAGAAAAAACGAAGAAAAACTTGCACACTAACCCCATCCTGAGCACAGTGCCTTACAACCTAGAAGGAATCCTCAATTCCTAGCTTCTTCCTGAAGAGTTAGGGGTTTGTACCACACATACAGTGCCCCAATTTTACAGTCTCTGCCAGAGAACCTGGCTATTAAACCACCTTCCTTGAGGAACATCAGGGACAGATCATCAGAAGATTTACTTAAGGGCAAAGGGGGTTTTAAAACATGCGAGCACTTCCAGCAACCACTGTCACCAGGATCAGGACAGCTTCCAATCTAACCCGTGGAAAGAGTTTGGCTTCACACTTTCCCAGCAGCTATCTGTGGCTCTGGTTCCTAAGAAGCCAGTATCTGGAAGCTTACATAGCAAATAAAAACAAAAGCTTCTTCAGCCTAAATGGGAGTGATGGCACTCCTTGTGTCTTCTTCTCTTACTTGCTCCAGCAATAAATCCCTTACAATCTCTCATTTTAAGGAGTCTGGGGACACCACCCTGGCTAAAAGGAAAAGTGAGCATATCTTGAGCTTTCTTCCTTGGTTTGCTTCAGTGATTACTTCAGAAGTATCTCCCTGCAAGGAGGGTGTGAGATTTCTGCTTGCTTGAATAGGACAGTAGGCACTCACTGCACTTCTTCTTCCTCAACTTGCTTCATGATAATTTCAGCCGTGCAATCTCTCCCTGTTGGAGGCCTCTTCCAACAAGAACAGAAGAGACTGCACTCCGTGCCTTCTTCCTCAACTTGCTCAAGATGTAAATTTCTGAAATCTCTCTATAAAAGGAGCTTGGGAAACCCCTCTGTGCCTGAAAAGCAAAGTAGGAACTCCCATAACTTACTTTCCAGTTTGCCTCAGTGATAACTCGAGAACAGAAGTCTCCCTCTGCAAGAAGGTCATGAGACTTCTTTTTGCTGAAGCAAGAGAGCAGGCAATTTCCAAATTGTTAAAAAAAAATGGATTTTTAATGTTTACACCGCAAAAAGTTAAGCTGATGTTCTACTTTGTTGCTAACGGGTTTCAGTGGAATCAACTGAGAAAGCCTAGTAAAACACAAAGAATGACAACCATAACAGAGTAGAAATGCAACACATTTCTTATTTCAGCATGTGGGCACGGTATAGCCTAAAATTAAATTACTCCTTGTGAGATGTAGAACACGCAGTTTACTAATCACATTGGATCCACTTTGTTTAAATCTGAAAAAAAAATGAAAATAAAAATGGAAAATATGAATTGGAGTCAGGTAAGATGATTTAAAGCCTGGACAATAAGATCTAAGATGAAAAGCTAAGAGAACACCAAAGCAATATTTTAGAACTAAATGTAAGTGCTAGCATATACTGTTGACATATACTTCTGTGTAGTATAAAAGGTATTTTCTATTTCTCAACATACAGCAATTCTTTTTTAATTATTCATTTTTTGTTTTTTCTTTTAGATATGGGTGCCACATTGCCCAGGCTGGACTCAAACTCCTGGCCTCCAGCAATCCTCCTGCCTCAGCCTTCCAAGATACCTAAGATACCTTCCATGAACTATAGGCACTGACCATCATGACCAGCCTGGCAATTCTTAATAACATACGTTTCTCATATTCATAATAGTAGATTACCCTCGCTTTTGGACAACAGATTTTCTGTGCTCAATGTGCTCAATGGGTTCTACAATGTAAGTTGTAAATGTGACAAATCTTTTTTTCTATATTGTGCTTTTGAGAGCCATTTTGACTCTCACTTGGCTGAAAAAAGATATGTGAGTCAACAAGATGGCAGACTAGAAAGCCCTGGGCCCTCCTTCCCTTTATGGGTATACCAATTCAGCAATACATGGATAAATTATCACTGTGAGAACTACAGAAACTACTTTAGAAACTACCATAACCTGGGAGAATGGAAAAACAGCCACACAGAAGCTGGTTAACAAAATTTGAGACACTCTCTCATAATCCACCCCAGCACAATGCTATATTATTGGGAGAAAACCCTAGCCTGGTGCTTCTAACTGGGGAGGAAAAGAGTTGAGCCATTCACCCAATCTTTCAGTTTTTCCTGGGGCTGTCCAAGGAACTGGCTGCTGTCTCACCTGTCTTGGAGCACTGATAGGACACAGCATATGCTCAATGCCTGGGGGAGAGTGAAAACAGAAGGCAGTTCAAGCTAGCACACAAGCACTCACCATAGCCCCTCCTCCATAGCAAGTGGATTACAAATACTAAATTTTAGCATTTCCCTAGGAAGGAAAAAAGGTGAACTGTATGTCCAACTTTCCAGTTTTTCAAAGAGCTACAGAACGGAGCTTTTGTTTTTGTTATGCCTGTCTTCGAGCAATGATGGTACACAACATACTCTTGAGATCTGGGAGCTGCTAAAAATAAAGACAGTGGATTGGATTACCACAAATATTTGAGAGGCCTGCACATTCTCTGGCTGAGCCGATTAATGAGGGTCTTCTGTGCAAGACCTGTCTATGAAAACTTAGAAAGATGGTTGTTTTCTCTAATTCAAAGACACCAATACAAAAATTCAAGAAGAGTGAAGAAATAGGGAATCATATTCCAAATGAAAGAACAAGATAAATCTCCACAAACTGACCTTAATGAAAGAGAAATATATAATTACCTAACAATTCAAAATAATCATCATAAAGATGTTCAAAGAGGTCAGAACAACGCAGGAATAAAGTGAGATTTTAACAAAGAGACGGAATTTATTTTAAAAGAAACTAACAAGAAACCTTGAAGCTTAAGAATACACTAACTGAATTGAAAAATTTACTAGAGGGGATTAACAACAAAATAGAGAGAGTAGAAGAAAGAATCAACAAACTTAAAGACAAGTCCTTGGAAATTCTCCAGTCAGAAGAGCAAAATAATATTAAAAAAGGAATGATAATAGCTTGTGGGACTTATAAGATACCATCAAGCAAGCCAAAATACACATTATGGAAATCCTGGAGGAGAAGAGCAAGAGAAAGGGCTGGAGAGCTTATACAAATAAATAATGGCTGAAAACTTCCCAAATCAAGGGAAGGAAATGGACATCCAACTTTGGAAGGCTCAACAAATTCCAAGTAAGATAAACCTAAGGAATTCTTTTCTGAAATATATTATAATTAAATTTTCAAAAGTCAAGAGAACACTTTGAAATTATCAAGACAGAAGTGACATGTCACATGCAAGGGAATCTCCATAAGATGATTAGCAGATTTCCTAGCAGAAACCTTACAGGCCAAAAGGGAACAATATGATACATTTGAAGTGCTAAAAGTAAAGAACTGCCAAACAAGAATAATATGCCCAGGAAAAACATCCTGCAAAAGTGAAAGAAAGATAAATACTTCCCCAGATAAAGGCTGAGACAGGTCAGTACAACTAGACTTGCTTCTGGAAAAATACAGAGAGAATTGTTTAAGTTGAAATTGAAAGATGCTAACAGCAATATGAAAGCATATGGAAGTACGAACCTCACTGGTAATGGTAAATATATAGGCAAATACAGAACACTGTAATACTGTAATAATGGTGGGTAAATCACTTTTAATTATACTATAATAATTAAAAGAGAAAAGCATTAAAATAATTATAACATAAAACACGTTAATATAAAACATAAAAATGTGTAAATTGTGACATTAAAAAAGTAGGTGGGAGAGAAGTAAAAGTGTAAAGTTTTGTATGCTATTGAAGATAAGTTGTTATATGCCTAAAAGAGACTATTACAACTATAAGATATTTTATGTAAACCTCATAGTAACCACAAAGAAAATAGAAAAGAGGCTATACAAAAGAAATAAAACACCAAGGAAGAAAATAGAAAATGAACAGAAAAACAAAAGAACTACAGTCAGACAGAAAATAATTATCAAAATGACAATAGTAAATTCTTCTCTATAAATAATTACTTTAAAAGCAAATAAATTATTTTCTCCAATAAAAAGATATAGAGTGGCTGAATGGATTTTAAAAAAGCAAAATCTAACTATATGCTGTCTACAAGAAACTCACTTTACATTTAAGATACACATAAGCTGAAAATGAAGGGATGGAAAAAGACATTTTATGCAGTGGTAACCAAAGGAAAGCAGGAGTGGTTACACTTACATTCCACAGAAAAGACCTCATCGAAAACTCTCATAAGAGACAAAGAAGGACATTATATAATGATAAAAGTGTCCATTAACAGAAAAATACAACAATAAATATACATGCATACAGCATCAGAGCACCTAATATATAAAGCAAATATTGACAGAATTAAAGGTAGAAATGGAGTACAATACCCCACTTTCAATAAAAGATCAAAGATTCAGATAGAAAATCAGGAAGGAAACAGTAGACTTGAGTAACACTACAGACTAAATGGACATATGACATTTACAGAATATTCTACACAACGGCAGGAGAATACACATGCCTCTCAAATTCATGGAACACTCTCCAAGATAGATCACATTAGGTCACAAACAAGCCTTAAAAATTTAAGAGGATTGAAATTATACCAAGTATCATTTCTGACCACAACAGAATAAAACTAGAAATTAGTAGCAGAAACGAACCTGGACATTTTACAATATGTGAATATGAATCAACATTCTTGATTGACTCAAAGAAAAAAATAAAAAGAGAAATTAGAAAATATCTTGAGGCAAATGAAAAGGAAGAAACAACATTTCAAAACTTATGGTATGCAGCAAAAGCAGTGCTAAGAGGGAAGTTCACAGTGATAAACACCTGCATTGAAAAAATACATGTTATACATAATATAATGTAATGTAATATATAATTACATTATATATTAGAATATTGATATGGTTTTGCTGTATCACCACTCATATCTCATCTTGACTTGTAGTTCCCGTAATCCCCACATGTTGTGGGAGGTAGCCGGTGGGAAGTAATGGAATCATGAAGGCAGTTGCCTCCATGCTGTTCTCATGATAGTGAGTGAGTTCTCATGAGATCTGATGATTTTATAAAAGGCTTTTCCCCACTTTGCTCTGCACTTCTCCTTGCTGCCACCATGTGAAGAAGGACATATTTGCCTCCCCTTCCATCATGATTTTAAGTCTCCTAAGGTCTCTCCAGCCCTTGGAACTGTGAGTCAATTAAACATGTTTCCTTTATAAATTACCCACTCTTGGATATTTCTTCATAGCAGCATGAGATTGGATTAATACAAATATATGACACATAATATATAATATAATAATGTATATTTTATATAACTCCATATTTATAGTTATATATTTATTTTATATATATATATATGCCCAACCTAACTTTGTACTTCAACAGAATACAAAAAGAACAAACTAAGCCCAAAGTTGCCATAAGGAAAGAAATAATAAAGACTAGAGCACACAGTTAAAAAATATATAGAATAAAAAAATAGAAAAAATTCAACCAAAGGGTCGTTTTTTACAAAAACAACCAAAATTGACAAACCTTTAACTGGACTGAGATTAAAAGGAGAGAAGACTTAAATAAATAATATCAGAAATGAAGGAGAATGTATTGCAACCAGTGACACAGAAATAAAAAGGATCATAAGATCATAATAAACAATTACACAACAACAAATTGGATAATCTAGAAGAAATAAATAAATTACTAGAAACAGACAACCTACCAAGACTGAATCTTGAAGAAACAGAAAATCTAAACAGACTTATGACTCATAAGGAGATTGAATCAATATCCAAAAATCTTCTAGCAAAGAAAAGCCCAGGACCAGAGCTACACAGGTGAATCTACTACACACTTCAGAATTAATGCCAAATCTTTCAAATTTTTCCCAAAAAAATGAAGAGGGAACACTTCCAAACACATTTTATGAAGCCAGCATTACCCTGATAACTTAGACGAACATACTGAAAAAACAGAAAACTGGCTGCGTGTGAGGGCTCACACCTGTAATCCCAGCCTTGGGAGGCCAAGGCAGACGGATCACGAAGTCAGGAGATCGAGACCATCCCGGCCAAGACGATGAAACCCCATCTCTATTAAAAATACAAAAAAATTAGCCAGGTGTTAGGGCAGGCGCCTGTAAGCCCAGCTACTTGGGAGGCTGAGGCACAAGAATCACTTAAACTCAGGAGGCAGAGGTTGCAGTGAGCCTAGATTGTGCCACTGTACTCCAGCCTGGCGACAGAGCGAGACTCCATCTCAAAACAAACAAACAAACAAACAGAAAACTATAGGCCAATATCACTGATAAATGCAAAAAGCTCTGAGGATACAAATATCCTCAACAAAATATTAGCAAACCAAATTTAACATCGCATTAAAGGGATCGTACACCATGACCAAGTGCAATTCATCTAAGGGATACAAGGATAGTTCAACATATGAAAAACAATTACTATAACACTCTACATTAACAGAATGAAGGATAAAAATGTACAATCATCTCAATATGCAGAGAAAAAGCATCTGATAAAATTCAACAACCTATTATCATAAAACCTCTCAACAAATTAGGTAAAAAACAAATGTACACAATAAAGGGAATGCATATGACAACCCAACAGCTTAAAAATGGAAAGTTTTTCCTCGAAAGTGTAGAAGGAACAAGGCAAGGATGCTGTCTTAGCTCATCTTGCACTGCTTTAACAGAATGCCAAAGACTTGGTATAACAAACAGAAGTTTATTTTCTTAAAGTTCTGGAGGCTGAGAAAGCCAAGATCAAGGCACCAGCTTCTGGCAAAGCCCTTCTTCCATCACATGCTGCCACCACAGAAGGCAAAAGGGCAGAGAGGAATCCTGTGTCTTCACATGGCAGAAAAGTGTAAGAGAGCAAACTCAGCCCTAAAGTCCCTTTAATTTTGCCATTAATTCATTTATGAGGACAGAGCCCTGATGACCTAAATACCTGTTAAAAGTACCACCTCTTAATACTGTTACAACAACAATTAAACTTCAGCATGAGTTTTGGAGGGCACAAACATTCAAACCACAGGAGATGTTCACCACTGCCATCTCTATGTCACGTCATACTGGGATTTCTAGCCAGAGCAATTAGGCAAGTAAAAGAAATACAAGGCATCCAAGTTGGAAAGAAAGATATAAAGTTATCTCTGTTTGCAGATGCGTGATCTTACATATAAAAAACCCTAAATTTTACACAACAAATGATATAACTAATAAATTAATTTAGTAAGAGGGCAGGATACAAAAAACAAAAAAATCAGTTTAACATACAAATATCAGATGCTACAACAAGAAGGAACTATACAAAAGGGAAATTAAGAAAAGATTTCATCTACAATAGCATCAAAAAGAATAAAATGGTTGGTAATTAACTAAGGAGGTGAAAGACTTTCACACTGAAAGTTAACAAATATTGCTGAAAGAAATGAAAGAAGTCACAAATAAATGGAAAGAAATCCTATGTTAATGGATTAACACATTAATACTGTTGAGATGTCAATACTACCGGATATGCTCTGGATGTGTGTCCCTTCCAAATCTCACGTTGAAATGTGATCTCTGTTGTTGGAAGTGGGGCCTAGTGGGAAGCACTGGATCATGGCGGTGGAATGGTCAGCACCATCCCCTCGGTGATGAGCGAGTTCCCGCTCAGTTAGCTCTTATGAGATCTGGTTGTTTAAAAGAGTCCGGGACCTCCCCCTTCTCTCTTTTGCCACGTGACATCCTGGCCCCCCTTTCCTTTCCACCATGAGTGGAAGTTTCCTCAGGCCCTTACTAGAAGCAGATGCTGGCACCAGGCTTCTTGTACAGCCTGCAGAACCATAAGCCAAAATAGACCTTTTCTCTTTACAAATTACCTAGTCTTAGGTATTCCTTTATAGCAACACAAAGGGTCTAACACTTCCCCAAAGCAATCTACAGATCCAATGCAATCCCTATCAAAGTCACACTGCCTTTTTTTATTGCAGAAATAGAAAAATTCATCCTAAGATTCATATAGAAGCACAAAGGACCCAAAGTAGCCAAAAAAAATCTTGAGAAAGAAGAAAATAGACGCTGGAGGGCTTACACTTCCTGATTTAAAAATATATTACATGCCTATGTAAATATGGAAAAGAATAAATATCCCAGAAATAAACCCCTACATATATGGTCAACTAATATTTGACAAGGGTGCCAAGGGTACACAATGGGGGAAGGATACTCTCTTAAACAAATGGTGTGGGAAAAGTGGATATCTACATGCAAAATAATAAAATTGTTCCTTTATCTTACATCATACACAAAAATCAACCCAAAATTGATTAAAGACTTAAATGTAAGGTCTGAAACTATAAAACTCTGGGAGAAAACATACGGGGAAAGATTCATAACATTGGTTTTGGGGATGACTTACAGGATATGATACCAAAACCACAGGCAATGAAAGAAAAAAAACAGTGGGACCACATCAAACAAAAAGGTTCTACATGTCAAATGAAAGAATTAGAGTTGCAAATACAACCTGTGGAATTGAAGATATTTGCAAACAATATACCTGATAATATCCAAAATACATAAGGATTTTTTTTTAAGCTATGTGAGTTACAACTCAATAGCCAAAAAATGAATTTTAAAATGTCCGAAAGACTTGAATAGATATTACTTCAAAGAATATATAAAAATAGCCACAGATACATG